>NC_000001.11:55008380-55159895 GCF_000001405.40 Homo sapiens
AAGACTTTGCCCTGATTGATGCCCCAACGTTGGAGGATGAGCCCCAAGAGGGGCAGCAGTGGGAAATAGCCCTGCCCAACAACTGGCAGCGGTACCCAAGGACAAAGGTGGAGGAGAAGGAGGCTTCGGACACAGGTGGGGAGGAACCTGAGAAGGAAGAGGAAGACCTGTACTATGGGCTGCCAGATGGAGCCGGGGACCTCCTCCCGGACAAGGAGCTGGGTTTTGAGCCTGACACCCAAGGCTGAGATGTTTGTGCTCCGTAGCTTCTAGTCTGGAACTGCTGCTGACCCCTGTGTGACATCACAGGGCCTCAGTTTCCCTATCTGCAAAATGGGATGATATGGAGGTTCAATGAGATGGTGGCATTTTGAGAATGGTAAAGAAATACACAGGGAGGGGATGATGACTATTAGTGGACTCTTGTTTTTCCAATAGTTAGTGGTCTTTGGCCAACCTTTGAAGGCAAAATATGATTTGTTGAGGTTTGCAGCAGCTGAAGCCCTCAAAAGCATTTTCCACCTTCCCCCAAAGCTGACCTCTGAGAGGAACCTTCCTTGGTGCTCCCTCTGGGCCCCTGATCCTTTGTGAAGGCCAGTCAGGTTTCCCATTCCTATTGTGTCTTATAGTCCACTTGGTAGATGGCGTGATCCGTCTTTACACAGAGGGAGCCTCATCTCCTCCTGGGCCACATTCCTCCTGCAGCTCCCATCGCTCCTTGGCCAGGACCCAAAACCTTCTGTGACTGACCCCTGCTGACCTCATTCTCTCTGCTCCTCCAGTTCCAAGCCTAGCCCCCCTGCCCATCTTGCGGCTCACACTCTTGCCCAAGCTGTTCTCCTCCACCAGGATGCCCTTGGCTCCCTTTTCAGCTTGGCAAATTCGTGCTCACCCTTCAAACCCCTACACAGATGACCTCCCTTGGAAAGGTTTTCCTGATGTCGCTGCCTCCTGGAACCAGGTGGTCTTGCCTCTCTGCGCTGCCTTTGGGACCTGTATATTTGTCAGTGTGGCATGGCTGCCTGCCTCCCGTTGAAGGGCAGCATCTTGACTTTACTCACCTTGAGATCGCCTGTGCCCAGATGGGCCTTTGGCCTGGCCCAGAATCGGTGGTCATCAAGGGTGTACAGAACTCACCAGGACCCAGGAACCTGTTGCAGATAAAATCACTCTCCCCCACGTTCCCAACTTTTAGACTCACAGCCCTCTTACTTCCCAGCATTCAAACTTCTAAATGGCCTGTATGTATTCACAAAGCAGGCAAAAAGCCCCCAGAGGAACACCACCCCCCACCCCTGCCTCTGGAATACATTTGCTTTGACTTGGAATTGTAGGTGAAATTCATCTTCCTGGCCTACTTCAGTTTGAATCAGTTGGCTAGCCAGGTGCGGTGGCTCATGCCTGTAATCTGAGCATTTTGGGAGGCTAAAGTGGGTGGATCACTTGAGGCCAGGAGTTGGAGAGCAGCCTGGGCAACATAGCGAAACCCTATCTCTACTAAAACTACAAAAATTAGCTGGGCGTGGTGGTGCACACCTGTAGTCTCAGCTACTTGGGAGGCTGAGCTGGAGGATAGCTTAAGCACAGGAGATGGAAGTTGCAGTGAGCCGAGATCGCACCACTGCACTCCGGCCTGGGTGACAGAGTGAGACCCTGCCTCAAAACAAAACAATTGGAATTGGATGGCATTTAGTGAGCATCTACTATATGCCAGATATTGAGCTGTGATCTCTAGGGGTAAAGAGACATGAACTACTGACACCGTGCTTGCCTTCAGAGGGCTCACAATCTAGTGAGCTTGATTTCTGTGAGTGCAGAGCAGAAGCTGAGGTGGGAACAGAGAAGTAAAAAATGGACACACCAGAGGCAGAAGAGTGACAGCCTCCCAGCTGTTTGGGGCAGTTGAGTATGGTGGGGAAATAGCTCAAGCTGTCTTTGCAGCCCCTGAAGACATCACTGTACCCTATTGAACCATCTCAGGGTGATGCTATTGTTACGCTGATCCCTGCAACGCTTGCCTGTGCCCCAGCCCAGGATCCTGGCAGCTGCAGAGAAAATGGCAGTAACACTACCTCAAACCAGGACCACGCCCTCAGAGCCTGCACCCTGGGCCACCTGGGAGTCAGAGACCTTCACCTGGGCTATGGGGTTCTGGGTTGAGGCTGGGGTTCCCGGCCTAGGGAAGGGCTTCCGGGTTGAGGCCGGGGGTCCTGGCCTAGGGAAGGAGATGCCCCTGTGTGCTGGGTTACAAGGTCATGGCCCTGGGAACACACTTCCTTTTCTTTCTGGGTCATTTCTGCCTCTGCAGTGAAGGATGCCACAGGGTACACCCTCTCTGCTGTCATGACTCAGGACAGGAGTTCCTGGTCACAGCTGAGTCTTCGGATGAGGTGAGGGGTAGCATGCTCCTGTGCTCTGTTGCCTAAGGCAGGGCAGCCTACAACCCACGTTAGAAACAGCGTCAGCACTAAGGGCTAAAATAAAACTACTTTCAACATTTAAAGGGGTCATCTTCATTCACCTGCAAATTCTTTTCTTTAAAACCACCCCTTCCCTCGGGGCAGGATACGTGAGGCCTTACGCCTGACGGGCACCAGAGGCCCTCTTCCGGAAGTAAGCCCTCACTGCAGTGGCATGACCGTGGGGTGTGCTGTGTGGTGCTGAATCTCAGGAGTGATTCCCCACACCCCTGAACCACAACCGCAGTGGCTTTAGACTTAAACAAGAGCCTCTGGTTGCTGGGCCTGCCAGCAGGAAGATGGTAACCCTGTTCTAGAGTTAGCATCTGCAGGGGGCTTGGGGTAGTGGAGTGAGATGGTGAGACCCAGGCTTGGTCTCCCTGGCTCTTGCTGCATGATGGGGAGACCACACACCTGATCTGCCCAGGAAGGTCCCGGTTGACACCGACTGCCTCTGCTAAGTTATTAGGAGGCCCCTTTCACGCTCGAAGATACCTCATTTGGATGATACAATGTTACCTTACCTACTCTGTGACCTTTGACAAGTCTGGTTGCCTCCGTAGCCCTCAGCTTTCTCATGTGCAAATGACAGATGAAGTGCGCATATCTTGGAATCTTGGAAGTGATGGGGGTGTTTGATGGGACCTATCTTGTCAATGCCCTGCAGCCAAAGACCACTGGGAGCACACCTCACCTGTGGTTAACAAGCTGGGTTTCTTCTTGCAGTAAGGGGGAATGAACACCACAGCGAACCAGGGGGAGTCTCTGAAAGAGGTATTAGAAAGGACTTGTTACTGGATTTGGGCCAGTGCTCAGTGGCTTGGCGAGGGTTTAAGAAGCAGGCCTTTGCTCTGAACCGGCTGCTGTCAGGAGGCGGGGCTCATTCTATGACTGGGTGTCTTCTTCAACCTTATCTAGGATAAAATAAAATCATAAAACACTGTGCTTCATGCCCCTGGCCTTGCCAACTTGCAGTCCCCTCTAAGAGCATCAGAGCCTCTGGGGCACCCCCTCTCCACTGGGAGAGGGGCAAGGTGCTGGTGAAGGTCCTGGGGAGAAGGCTGGGAGGCTCTGAAAGGGTCAGGAGGGGCCTTTTGGGGTGGCAAAGCCTGGGATTCTAGCGTTCAGCTCCAGGCTCCAGGTGTGTGTGCCAGGGTGAAAATTCCTGCTCTTGGTCACTCTCCTGTCAGGTTGGAGGGACTCTGGAAGTTTCCACCCTCTGGAGAGGGAAAGGCCCTGGAGGGATGGCCCCTGCCCTTAACTGGAAAGGGTGGGCAAGGGAAGGCAGGGGGCCCAGGGGCAGGGAACCTGGGCTCTGCCGACCGCTCGCCATGACCTTGGGTACATCACAGCCCTCCCTGGGCTCCTCTATTCTCTGTAAAATTGGGTGAGGGTGGGCAAGATTCCACTTCTGCTCCCAGTCCCTGAGCACTGTGTGCCTGTCACCATGCAAGACACCGTCACCCCTATTACCCTATCTAGTCCGTGAAACAGCCCTGGGGGACCGATCTGTCGACCCCACATTGCAAATGTTTGTTATAAATCCCAGGCTCCAGAATCAGAAAGACCTGGTTTTACCTTCAGCCTCAGCCAGTTCCTTGCTGTGTGGCCTTGGACAAGTCACAGCCCCTCTCAGAGCCTCAATGTCCACATTTATGCAGTGGGGAGGATAATACCTCCCTCTTGGGCTTTTGTGGAGAAGAACTGGGTATAATGCCTCAGGCACATTTAGGTGCTTAGACAGTGGTGGTCTTCTTCCCTCTCTGGGTCTCTTCCCTCATCTATGCATCAGGGAGCCACTGTCCTGCCTATAAATAAAACAATAGGTGAGTGCATTCACCAGGAGGAAGATGCATGTAAAAGCTTCTTGCAAGGGGTAAAGAAAGTCTGTGTGCCCAGTGCTGAGAGGCAGGTGAGCCAACAGCAAGTGCAGGGACTAAGGTGTATAAAATGCCTCCTGTGGGGCAGGAGGGGAGCAGCATGCTGAGTGAGAGAGGCAGCACCCTGGAAGCTTGGAGGAGGAGCAGGATTGCTTGTGCTGTCAGACAGGTGTCAAACAGGGTTCCAGGCAGCTGCTGAGTGTCAGGTGCTTCCCATAAATCATTTCATTGAATTTAATTTTTCCATCTGCCCTGAGAGATGGGTATTACCAGGGGAGAAACTGATATTCAAACATAGGTCCTCTGAGCCTGTGCTCTTCCCACGATGCCACCTGGTCCACGTCATAAGACTCAACAATGCACCTGTTGTGCTGTGCACACTTTTCTTCATTTCATCCTCGCAGCTTGCAAGGTTGGTGTATTGTCCCCATTTTATTTTTATGTATTTATTTATTTATTTTGAGATGGAGTGTTGCGCTTGTTGCCCAGGCTAGAGTGCAATGGCGCAATCTCAGCTTGCTGCAACCTCCACCTCCCGGGTTCAAGTGATTCTCCTGCCTCAGCCTCCCAAGTAGCTAGGATTACAGGCGCCTGCCACCACACCCAGCTAATTTTGTATTTTTAATAGAGATGAGGTTTCATCATGTTGGCCAGGCTGGTCTTGTACCCCTGACCTCAGATGATCTACCCGCCTCAGCCTCCCAAAGTGCTGGCATTACAGGTGTGAGTCACTGCACCCAGCTGTCCCCATTTTATAGATGAGGAACTGAGGCTCAGAGAAGCTGAATAATTTGCCCATCCTTGCGGAGAAGAGCTAAATGGAGGAGAGGAGGTAGAGCTGCAGGGCTTTCTGTTCCTGCCAGGAATCATCCAGTAGCCCCAGGCCATTCTGACCCTAGTGGGACAGGAGAAAAATCAGTATCAATAAGTCAGGCAGCAAGGTTCCACTGAGCATCTCCCTGTGCTAGTGTGGAGGGAGACACCCCCCTGCAACATCTTCCATGACTGCCTATTGCCCACAAGATAAAATTCAGATTCCTCAGGCTGGCATTTGAGGCCCTTCATGATCTGGCCCCAACTGCCCCATCCAGCTGAATCATCTGCCATGTGCTCCCGTGCAGCAGCCCCGGCATCCTCACCTTTCCAGCCACCCTGCCTTGGCTCATGCTGTTCCCTCCACCCAGGTGCCCTTCATCCCCTTCTCTGTCATCCCTCAAACCCTACCTGTTCCCTGGAGCCTGAATTAGCCCTGCTCTCCCCTTCCACGGTGGAATCCATCTCCACTGCACCCTCTCCTCCGAATCCCTCCTAAACTGTGTGCCCCGCTCTGTCCCCAGCACTTCTGAATGACTAGCTGTGTGAGTACCAGTCTCCCCACATGGACTGGGAGGTCCTTCAAGGACAGGGGCCTCTTCCCCGCCAATACTTCTATCCCCAGGACTTAGCAAAAGCAAGGAACAGTAGTGCTGGTGGAACAGAATTGAACCGAACCGGGTGCCCACTCTGAAGGCTCATGGCCCAGGGGCATGGACTCCTAGCCCAGGGCTGAGGAGCACCAGCTTTGGAGTAAACAGCGCTGGGTTTGAGACTAGGCTTCCCTACTGGCCAGCTCTGTGACTTTGGCCAGGAGACTTAGCCTCTCTGGCCCTCAATTTCCTTATTAATAAATTGAGGTTAGTGATATCGACCCAATAGGCATGTTGTGAAGATTGGATGAGATCATGCATATTGAGTGTAGCATGTGCCTAGCACCTGGTGAGCCCCCAGTAAAGTCAGTTATCATTGTTAGTGTTGCCTGCAGAGATGATGTTACAATGTGTAGACATCAGGTGCCCATGTGCACCTGGGTCGTTCAAGCCTACAAGCACTGTGTCATCCAAGCACATGTATAATTCGAGCTTTGTATCGTCAGTGCTTCCAAGTGCCTGTCAATGGACCCAGCTGGGCTGGTGGCATCAGACTCTCCTGGGAAACTTTAAAAATCTAGTGTCCTAGAACCATCCTCAGAAAAGTCTGGGATGGCCTGGGTTTTGCATAAGCAAGCCTGGTGATTCTTAAGTGCTGAAGGGCTTAGTTGTTTGTTTTTCTTAAATGAGTTATCAAACATTGGATAGCTGGTAGGCAACCCAGAAGAGGTGGGAGTTGCAAGCCAGGACTTAAAACAGTAGAATGAAGGAGTGAGGGTATCTCAGGCAGAGGGCATGGCATAGGCAAAGCCTTGGGGGAAGGAAGGAGGAAGAAGGAGACTGTCCTGGCTGGAGTGGTGGAGGACAGGGTCAGAGAGGGAGGCCGCAGCTTGGCCATGGGGCTTCTTGAATTCCTGCCACGGAGCTCAGATTTGTTCTGATGGGCAAGGGGGATTAATTGATGATTCTTGAGCAGAGGAGTGACATGAAAGAAACATTCAGGTCATATACTAACAGATACAAAAGGGAAAGGTGGCACGTATTGGTGGCAAGAAGGCTGGTTTGTGCCCTGCGGCAGGGATTTCATTCTCAACCTGCCCTGTGAAAGGTTTTTTCCACTCATGTCACTGGGTGGATGCCAGGTCAGGACTGAAGCTTGCAGAGCCGGTGTCCTGGATTCCTCCTTGCTGACCACAAATCCAGCAGAGCAGGGCAGGGAACCCTGTGGCAGAGGCTGTTGCTTCCCGCCAAGACACCAGGGCCCTGGCCAAGGCAGTGCTCAGTTCACAGATGACCCAGGACAAGGGCAAATGAGGGCCCCAGTGACTCAGGAAGTCCCCAGGTCAGAAAATGGGCCCCACTGGTGATTCTGCAGATAGTCCCTGCACATCCCGGAGAAGAGCAGACACGGTGTGGTGGGTAGGTGGATGAGACCAGGCTTTGGGGATCAGATCAGCAAGCCTGGGGGTAAGGAGGGCTAGATTTTATCTAGTCATGTGTTCATTCATTTGTTCACTTATTCATTTATTCTAACCACAAACACTATGCACCTGCTTTGTGCCACCCCCTGTGCTAGGTACTGGGGGAAGAGACATGCATCTGACCCATGCTTGTCTTGGGGGAACCTCTACTACCCCGGGCTAACTGCAGAGTGAACAGTGACAGGTCAGTGCTGAGCAGAGGGAAGCACGGCGGGGATCTGACCCCACCTGGAGAGTCGGCAGGAGCTTCTCAGAGAGGAACTCCCACCAAGCTATGTCCTGAAGGATTCGCTAGGGAAGAGCAGGGAGGGAGAACAGCTTGGGCGAAGCCTCCAGCCCTGAGCCACCCCACCACGTTCCAGGATTGACCTGGGGTAGGTGTGAACTGAGCTTAGAATAGGAGCGGAGGGTGGCTGGAGAAGACGTGGGTGAGTGAGTGACTGGGGACTGGACCAGGGCGGGCTGTGGTTGTTGCCCTGGAGCACATGGAAGGCCCCAGTGATGGACAAGGACAAAGCTACAGTTTCCATGGAAGGAGGGCTTTGCAGTGCTGAGAGCTGCCCAAAGAATGGGTAGGAACATGTCTGAAAGAGGTTACAGTTCCTAACGGAGAGAGAGAGACAGATGGAGAGAGAGAGACAGAGAGAGAGAACTAGAAATCAGACAGGAAAAGAAAGGGAATTCATCCACTGGAAATATCTGTGATCCCACAAAAGAAACAAATGAAAACATGGTTAACCTCAGGGGAATGCAAATTAAAACAAGAAGCTATGTTTCACCCATAACACTGGCATCATTTTGTAAAGATGATGTAATAAAGATAATAATAGGTGGAGCTGGCAGAATGTGGAGGAACAGAGCTCTTTCTGACGTTGCTGATGTGAATGGGAGTGGTGGCAGCTTTTCTGTGAGTGCCTTCACAGGGGGCTGCCCCTTGATTCAGCAATTCCACATGTAGGACTTGCTCATTTATTCTAGTTTTGTTGTTGTTGTTGTTGTTTGTTTGTTGTTTTGAGACAAGGTCTTGCCGTATTGCTTAGGCTGGTCTCAAACTCCTGGATCAAGTGATCCTCTGGCCTCAGCCTCCTGAGTAGCTGGGATTACAGGAGCACACCACAGTG
The DNA here is from genome assembly GCF_000001405.40 of Homo sapiens. Taxonomy (NCBI): domain Eukaryota; kingdom Metazoa; phylum Chordata; class Mammalia; order Primates; family Hominidae; genus Homo; species Homo sapiens. The sequence continues at coordinate 55,016,728 of NC_000001.11, forward strand.
CCTGGCTTTATCCTGATAATTTACCCTAAGGAAGAAATCAGACAACTGTGCTAGACTATACTTACAGAAGGCAGTTTATCATAGCGTTGATGATGGTAGATGAAATGTGGAAAGAATCTCAATGTTCAGCAACAGGAGACTGGCTAAGACATCATGCCACAGCTATGCAAGGGACAGATACACGGCCATTCAAAACAGTGACCCTCCTGATTGAATCAAATCCCCTATCACCACTCTCACAGCACCACAGATCTCTCTCCTTTGTAGCATTTATTACCATCATAATTTTACATTTCTTTGTGAATTTCTTTGATGAATTTCTATCTCCTTCATTGGACGCTAAGCTCTGTGAAGGCAAGGACTCTATTACGTTCATTATTGTGCCCTCAGTGCTTAGTTAAGTTCCTGGAACACAGTATCCTCTCAATAAATTGTTGTTAAATGAGTGAGTGAGTCTATATATTTTGATGTGGACAGATTTTGTAATGTATAATTAAGAGAAAGAGAGCAGATTATAAAACAGCATGCATGCTGTAACAGACATTGTTAATTCCCTCCTTCCTTGATTTTGTTTGTGAGTGAGGACCACATCCCCACTTTCAGTCAATGAATTGTGATTGGTCCAAAGCCAATCATGACAATCCTTTTCTCTGCTGCTGGAGGTGGTCCTGAGATCGAGTTCTGGCCAGTAAGACCTAAAGAGAAATCTGTTGGGGGTCACTTTCTGAAGTTTTTGCTTTTATAATAAAAATGCAGAAGTGACTGCCTTTGCAGGCATTGAAAACAGATGTAGTGGCTGGAGCTGCAGCAGCTGTCTTGCAGTCATGAGGGAAATTCCAAGAGATTCACAGAGATGCTGGACCTAACATTGTTGAACCAGTGAACCACGGCCAGCCACCATAGGTAGTCTAGCTAGGAAGAAAAATGAATCTCTGGTTGTTAAATAATTATACATGCAGATTAATGCCCTCTCAATAGATACAGAGTATGATCCCATATATATATATATATGTATATCCATATATGCGAATATGAATAGAAAATTAAAGTGATTATATCTGGGTGGTAGGATTCTCATTGATATTTTTTATTTTATGAAGTTTTTCCAATCAGCATGTAAATAATAACCAGAAAAAGAACTTTTTACATTCAGAAAATAAGCAATCATGCTAACTGTAATTTTTTTTTTTTTTGAGACGGGAGCCTCGCTCTGTTGCTCAGGCTGGAGTGCAGTGGGGCAATCTCAGCTCACAGCAACCTCCAGCTCCTGGGTTCAAGTAATTCTTCCACCTCAGCCTCCTGAGTAGCTGGGATTATGGGCACCTACCACCACACCCGGCTAATTTTTTGTGTTTTTTTTTTAGTAGAGACGGGGTTTCATCATCTTGGCCAGGCTGCTCTCAAACTCCTGGCCTCAGGTGATCCTCCTGCCTTGGCCTCCCAAAGTGCTGGGATTACAGGCATGAGTCACCGTGCCCGGTCTAATTCTACTTTAAAAAATAAACAAAATGTTAGGCCCCCACTAATCACATCCATGAGATAAGTGAATTTGAAGGAAGCTAGATGACCACCTGTGGCCATCCTGGAGCACGGATTCAAGCACCAGTGGGAGGCTGGACTTGACCTACAAAGATTCCCCTCCAAAACAAGTGTGATTCCAACCTTCTGAGGGAGGCAGGCAGGCATCATAGCCCCAGGGAAATGGATGGAAACCTGAGGCTCTGTGAGGAGAGGTTATGTCCCTCAGTTCCCACAAGGACACATCTGTCCTCACGTGGGATTAGGCCCCCAGGCCTCCGCTGGCCAGCCTACCAGGCGGATTCTCAACAGCACCAGGGCTATGACAAGGAGGAAGGGGGAAGCCTGGTCCTGCAGCCTCGGGAAGCCGGGGCAGCTGTGGGAAGCCGGGGCAGCGGCTATGGGAAGCCGGGGCAGCTGGGGGATCTGCAGGTGGTGCTGATGTCCCGTGGCACCTGTATTGGCTATAAATACATATTTTCAGAAAGCTGAGTGGGACCATCTCTTCCCACAACAAATCCAGGTCATCTGCATGAAAATGACCTTGAGGAAAATTGGAGGAGAGGAAAAAAAAAGTGTCAGCAAAGAAAGAAAGGGAAAATATACTAGGGAAACTGTTTTGTTTTGTTTTGTTTGCGACAGAGTCTTGCTCTGTCACCCAGATTGCAGTGCAGTGGTGCGATCTTAGTTCACTACAATCTGCAGCTTCCGGGTTCAAGCGATTCTCCTGCCTCAGACTCCTAACTAGCTGGGACGATGGGTGCATGCCATCATACCTGGCTAATTTTTTTGTATTTTTAGTAGAGATGGGGTTTCACCATGTTGGCCAGGTTGGTCTCGAACTCCTGACCTCAAGTGATCTACCATATGTATGCATCTAACAACAGAGATCGAAAACACAGGAAGCAAAAATCCTGTCTGATTTTTAGCTTTCTCTCTCTCTTTTACTGTCTCTCTCTCTCTCTCCATTTAGAAGTGTAACCTCTTTCAGACATGTTCCTGCCCATTCTTTGGGCAGCTCTGAGCATTGCCTTCTGCATCCTGAAGTTCAAGTCATCTGCCCAAGCCTGGGGTTTCTCATCTCAATAACAGGGTGCCAGTCAATGCCTCCCTACCTCTTCCCGGGGAGGAACTTCGTTCTTCCCTGCCTGCGGTTGTGGATCTAGACCCTGGCCCTGATTCCCTATAAGGCTTTCCCCAGCCTCAGTTTTCTACCCCCCAGCATGGGGTGGCAGTCCTGCCTGCCTGCCTCACAGGAATGATTCCAGGCCTGGGGACCTCGTGGGGACCTCAGTGGTTGTTGCTGGGCTGGGTTTTGGAGATCTGACCTTCCTCCCTGGCTGAGATGGCTGACTTCTCTGCACCATTAACACCCTGACGAGGAGGTGATGGAAATATTTTGGCCTAGGGGTGAGGGCTAGGGGCCCCCGAAGCAGCTGAAGGCACATTCCTCCCGGTCCCCACCTCCACTTGCCCTGGGGCCCGGGCTGCTGGGGATTCTTTCCTTTCACCCTGGACCTCAGAGCACTGATGCAAATCGGGTGCATGCCCTTGGGGTCCTTTGGATCCAAATGGCCAGTCGGGGTGACCCAGTTGGGTATTTGTGTGGAGGAGTGGGGCTGCCATCTGACCACTCAGATCCCGTCCTTCCTCCCCCTCCATGCTTGCCTCATGTCAGGACTTTCTAAAGCAGTTTTAGATGTGCTATCTTGTTGGACTTTGCATCTCCTCAGTGAGGGGAGAGTGATTGCCACTGTTCTGCTGATGAGTGAACTGAGGCTCAGAAAGGGGCAAGTTGTTGCCCAGGGTCACACCGTGAATTTGTAGCAGAGCTGGGATTAGAACTCATGTTCTGGATCTCCGCCTGGGTCGTGTCCCATCTGCTGCCAAGGCCTAGCTTTCTGCCTCCACAACATCCCCTTCCCCCTTTCTTCCCTCCTCATGATAGCCACTGTCACCACCCCTCCAGCCTGTGCTCATTATCACATGGCCCCTCACAGGGTACTGTCTCCAGGCTGGACCCCACCACACCCACCAGAGGGATGCTCCTAAGTGGTAGTTGGGCTCTAAAACCACTCTCTCCAGACCAAAGCGAATTGGACTAAAGGGGGTCCCAGCTGTAGGAGCTCCTGGTCCAGCAGAAGAGATTGTCACATAGAGGACTCCCTTGGCAAAGAGAAGAGGGGGAACATAGGGCAGAAAGTTCAGGGAGTGCTGCCTGGAGGAGGAGACCCTTGGGGTGGGTGTCATGAGAATTATCAGGCAAAGAATGCTGGGAAGGGCATTCCAGGAGGAAGGCATAGCATGAGCCATGGCTGCAGAGTGGAGCTGGGTGACCTGGACTGCTTGAGGCAGTGCTACATTTTCAGGGAGTAAATCTGTGGTTCCCACACTTAGGGCTGCTTTGGTATCTCCTGAGGAGTTTATGAAATGCAGATTCCTGGGCCCAGTTCCTGGAGATTCTGGGCCAGGCAGAGGAATCTGCAATTCTCAAAGCGGGAGGGTAGGAGGAGTTGCCGCAGCCTCATTCCACCACTCTGATGCAGGTGGCCCCTGGGCCATGCTTGGAGAAACACTAGCAGGACTGAGGTGGCCTTGGACAGAGCACTGTGGAGGGGTCTGGGGTGGAGGCAGAGGTGGAGTGCGCTGTAGGAAGAGCTGCAGAAGCTGGACCCTCTTGGACAAGCCTATTGAAAAGTTTGGCTTGCCCATCCCCTGTCCCCACTGACACATTTTATCCTTCTCTTTTCATCATTCTCTAGTGCTCTTATCACCAACTTATAGGCTGAACATTAATTTATTACCTGTTTCACTCAACTATGAGGGCTGCATGAGAAAAGGGATTTTGTCTATCTTGTTCACTGCTGTACCCCAATGTCTGTAACATGGAAGGTGATCAAGGGAGGTTTTGTTCTGTTTGCATTTTTTTTCTTTTTGAGATGGAGTCTCCCTCTTGTCACCCAGGATGAAGTGCAATGGCGCGATCTCAGCTCACCACAACCTCCGCCTCCCAGGTTCAAGCGATTCTCTGCCTCAGCCTACCGAGTAGCTGGGATTACAGGCATGCGCCACCACGCCCGGCTAATTTTGTGTTTTTAGTAGAGACAGGGTTTCTCCATGTTGGTCAGGCTGGTCTTGAACTCCTGACTTCAGGTGATCCACCCGCCTCAGCCTCCCAACGTGTTAGGATTACAGGTGTGAGCCACCGTGCCCGGCCTGCATTTTGTTTTTTTAGGGTGGAAGAGATCTGAGCGTGCTGAGAGGCTGGCAGGAAAAAGGGTGAGTAAGCCTTGATGTGTACAAAAGAGAGACAGAGAGAGCCAGGCAGACATGTCAGAGAACAGCAACAGCTCTTCCCTTTAAGCCGGCAGGGAGTGGGGACATACAGGGTGGAGAGGGGCTGCCTGTGGCAGGTGCCAGGAAGACCCCAGTGGCCTCCTTTTCTCCATGAAGTGGCAGACAAGGGGCTTCCTGGGAAGAGAGGGGAGGAGAGGAGAGGGTGGAGACTGGTGATGTGCATTGGGCCCAGAGCCATTCTTGAGCAGGTGGAGAGGAAAGCATTTTTGAGGCCGGCGTGCTGGTCATGACCCTCTTTTGTTCAGAATCTCCCAGAGTCCCCTAACCTCAGGAGAGGGCCATGCCTTGGCCTCGAGAGGCGTTAAAAACCAGCCTCCCATCTCAGTGTCTCCAGCTGGGCCATGCACTGCTTCCTACCACCATTATAACTGGACCACAGATCCCGAGCTGCCACCTCCAGGAAGCCGGCCCGGATTCAGTGCCCATCTGACTGAGTTCCCGCAGCACCTAGCCTGTCCCTTCTGTGAGACTTGGCTCCTCTTGCCTCCTATCACAGTCGCCTGTGCTCTCATCTGCCTCCCTGTGGACTCTGAGGATGAGGCGAGGGCTGATTCAGCTCAGGGGTGAGAGCAGGTGCCAGCAGCTTATGGGCTGGGCCGGGCCTGGGCAGTGGGCAGGCCGTGGGCTCAGATGACAGGTACCTGGCGCCCTCTGCTGGTCTAGCTGGGCAAGGCTGCTGCTCCAGAGTGGCCGGAAGCTTCCTGGGAGAGGCCTGGTTCTCTGGGCCTGTCCCTCTCTCCCTATTCCTTCCTTCCTCCCTTCCTGAAACTGCGTCCTCCAAATCCTGCTCCAGCACCAGCAACCCCCTGCTTTTCAACAGCCTCTGGCAGCGTTTCGGTCCCTTTCTGGCCTTGACTGGAAGGCCCCTGTCCCCCAAGGACACTGCTGCCGTCCCTGCAGTCCTTTCCCCCCGCCTGAGAGGGGTAGGGTCTCCTTGCTCTCAGTGCCCCACTCTCTGGATCATTGTCCTTCTCTCCTCCATAAACGCAGTCATGCGCCACACAGCAATGTTTCAGGCAACGACAGACCACATACATGACAGTGGTTCCATAAGATTACAACAGAGCTGAGAAACTCCTGTCACCTCGCTTAGAGACGTCATAGCTGTCAGGCCTCTGAGCCCAAGCCAAGCCATCGCATCCCCTGTGACTTGCACGTATACGCCCAGATGGCCTGAAGTAACTGAAGAATCACAAAAGAAGTGAATATGCCCTGCCCCACCTTAACTGATGACATTCCACCACAAAAGAAGTGTAAATGGCTGGTCCTTGCCTTAACTGATGACATTACCTTGTGAAAGTCCTTTTCCTGGTTCATCCTGGCTCAAAAAGCACCTCCACTGAGCACCTTGCGACCCCCACTCCTACCCGCCAGAGAACAAACCCCCTTTGACTGTAATTTTCCTTTACCTACCCAAATCCTATAAAACGGCCCTACCCTTATCTCCCTTCGCTGACTCTCTTTTTGGACTCAGCCCGCCTGCACCCAGGTGAAATAAACAGCCATGTTGCTCACACAAAGCCTGTTTGGTGGTCTCTTCACACGGATGCACATGTAATTTGGTGAAATTTGGTGCCGTTACTCGGATCGGGGGACCTCCCTTGGGAGATCAATCCCCTGTCCTCCTGCTCTTTGCTCCATGAGAAAGATCCACCTACGACCTCAGGTCCTCAGACCGACCAGCCCAAGAAACATCTCACCAATTTCAAGTCCGGTAAGCTGCCTCTTTTTACTCTCTTCTCCAACCTCCCTCACTATCCCTCAACCTCTTTCTCCTTTCAATCTTGGCGCCACACTTCAATCTCTCCCTTCTCTTAATTTCAATTTCTTTCATTTTTTGGTAGAGACAAAAGAGACATGTTTTATCCATGAACCCAAAACCCCGGTGCCGGTCACGGACTGGGAAGGCAGCCTTCCCTTGGTGTTTAATCATTGCAGGGATGCCTCTCTGATTATCCACTCACGTTTCAAGGGTGTCAGACCACGCAGGGACGCCTGCCTTGGTCCTTCACCCTTAGCGGCAAGTCCCGCTTTCCTAGGGGGCAAGGACCCCCCAATCGCTTATTTCCGCACCCCAACCTCTTATCTCTGTGCCCCAATCCCTTATTTCCGCACCCTGACCTCTTATCTCTGTGCCCCAATCCCTTATTTCCGTGTCCCAACCCCCTCTCTGCTTTTCTGGAGGGCAAGAACCCCACTCCCCTCCTCCGTGTCTCTACGCTCTCTTTTCTCAGGGTTTGCCTCCTTCACTATGGGCAACCTTCCACCCTCCATTCCTCCTTCTTCTCCTTTAGCCTGTGTCCTTAAGAACTTAAAACCTCTTCAACTCACACCTGACCTAAAACCTAAATGCCTTATTTTCTTCTGCAACACCACTTGGCCCCAATACAAACTTGACAATGGCCCTAAATGGCCAGAAAACGGCACTTTTGATTTCTGCATCCTACAAGACCTAAATAATTTTTGTCGAAAAATGGGCAAATGGTCTGAGGTGCCTTACGTCCAGGCATTTTTCACACTTCGTTCCCTCCCTAGCCTCTGTTCCCAATGCAATTCCTCCCAGATCCTCCTTCTTTCCCTCCCGCCTGTCCCCTCAGTCCCAACCCCAAGCGTCGCTGAGTCTTTCCAGTCTTCCTTTTCTACAGACCCATCTGACCTTTCCCCTCCTCCCCAGGCTGCTCATCACCAGGCCGAGCTAAGTCCCAATTCTTCCTCAGCCTCCGCTCCTCCACCCTATAATCCTTTTATCACCTCCCCTCCTCACACCCGATCCGGCTCACAGTTTCGTTCCGTGACTGGCCCTCCCCCACCTGCCCAGCAATTTACTCTTAAAAAGGTGGATGGAGCCAAAGGCATAGTCAAGGTTAATGCTCCTTTTTCTTTATCCCAAATCAGATAGCATTTAGGCTCTTTTTCATCAAATATAAAAATCCAGCCCAGTTCATGACTCGTTTGGCAGCAACCCTGAGACACTTTACAGCCCTAGACCCTAAAAAGTCAAAGGGCCGTCTTATTCTCAATACTCATTTTATTACCCAATCCACTCCTGACATTAAATAAAACTCCAAAAATTAAATTCCAGCCCTCAAACCTCACAACAGGATTTAATTAACCTCGCCTTCAAGGTGTGCAATAATAGAAAACAGTTGCAATTCCTTGCCTCCACTGTGAGACAAACCCCAGCCACATCTCCAGCACACAAGAACTTCCAAACGCCTGAACCACAGCGGCCAGGCGTTCCTCCAGAACCTCCTCCCCCAGGAGTTTGCTACAAGTGCCAGAAATCTGGCCACTGGGCCAAGGAATGCCCGCAGCCCGGGATTCCTCTTAAGCCGCGTCCCATCTGTGTGGGACCCCACTGAAAATCGGACTGTTCAACTCACCTGGCAGCCACTCCCAGAGCCCCTGGAACTCTGGCCCAAGGCTCTCTGACTGACTCCTTCCCAGATCTTCTCGGCTTAGCGGCTGAAGACTGACACTGCCCGATCGCCTCGGAAGCCCCCAGACCATCACGGACGCCGAGCTTTGGGTAACTCTCACAGTGGAAGGTAAGCCCGTCCCCTTCTTAATCAATACGGAGGCTACTCACTCCACATTACCTTCTTTTCAAGGGCCTGTTTCCCTTGCCTCCATAACTGTTGTGGGTATTGACGGCCAGGCTTCTAAACCTCTTAAAACTCCCCAACTCTGGTGCCAACTTAGACAATACTCTTTTAAGCACTCCTTTTTAGTTATCCCCACCTGCCCAGTTCCCTTATTAGGCTGAGACACTTTAAATTATCTGCTTCCCTGACTATTCCTGGACTACAGCTATATCTCATTGCCGCCCTTCTTCCCAATCCAAAGCCTCCTTTGTGTCCTCCTCTTGTACCCCCCACCTTAACCCACAAGTATAAGATACCTCTACTCCCTCCTTGGTGGCCAATCATGCACCCCTTACCATCTCATTAAAACCTAATCACCCTTACCCCACTCAATGCCAATATCCCATCCCGCAGCACGCTTTAAAAAGATTAAAGACTGTTATCACTTGCCTGCTACAGCATGGCCTTTTAAAGCCTATAAACTCTCCTTACAATTCCCCCATTTTACCTGTCCTAAAACCAGACAAGCCTTACAAGTTAGTTCAGGATCTGCGCCTTATCAACCAAATTGTTTTGCCTATCCACCCCGTGGTGCCAAACCCATATACTCTCCTATCCTCAATACCTGCCTCTATAACCCATTATTCTGTTCTGGATCTCAAACATGCTTTCTTTACTATTCCTTTGCACCCGTCATCCCAGCCTCTCTTCACTTTCACTTTGACTGACCCTGACACCCATCAAGCTCAGCACATTACCTAGGCTGTACTGCTGCAAAGCTTCACAGACAGCCCCCATTACTTCAATCAAGCCCAAATTTCTTCCTCATCTGTTACCTATCTTGGCGTAATTCTCATAAAAACACATGTGCTCTCCCTGCCAATCGTGTCCGACTGATCTCTCAAACCCCAGCACCTTCTACAAAACAACAACTCCTTTCCTTCCTAGGCATGGTTAGCGTGGTCAGAATTCTTACACAAGAGCCAGGACCACACCCTGTAGGCTTTCTGTCCAAACAACTTGACCTTACTGTTTTAGCCTAGCCCTCATGTCTGCGTGCAGCGGCTGCCACTGCTTTAATACTTTTAGAGGCCCTCAAAATCACAAACTATGCTCAACTCACTCTCTACATTTCTCATAACTTCCAAAATCTATTTTCTTCCTCATACCTGACACATATACTTTCTGCTTCCCGGCTCCTTCAGCTGTACTCACTCTTTGTTAACTCCCACAATTACCGTTGTTCCTGGCCCAGACCTCAATCTGGCCTCCCACATTATTCCTGATACCACACCTGACCCCCACGACTGTATCTCTCTGATCCACCTGACATTCACCCCATTTCCCCATATTTCCTTCTTTCCTGTTCCTCACCCTGATCATGCTTGATTTATTGATGGCAGTTCCACCAGGCCTAATCGCCACACACCAGCAAAGGCAGACTACGCTATAGTACAAGCCACTAGCCCACCTCTTAGAACCTCTCATTTCCTTTCCATCATGGAAATCTATCCTCAAGGAAATAACTTCTCAGTGTTCCATCTGCTATTCTACTACTCCTCAGGGATTATTCAGGACCCCTCCCTTCCCTACACATCAAGCTCGAGGATTTGCCCCACCCAGGACTGGCAAATTAGCTTTACTCAACATGCCTGAGTCAGATAACTAAAATACCTCTTAGTCTGGAGGTATTTTAGTTACTGGATAAGTACTGGCCTTTCCTACAGGGTCTGAGAAGGCCACCGCAGTCATCTCTTCCCTTCTGTCAGACACAATTCCTCAGTTTAGCCTTCCCACCTCAATACAGTCTGATAACAGATGAGCCTTTATTAGTCAAATCAGCCAAGCATTTTTTCAGGCTCTTAGTATTCAGTGAAACCTTTATATCCCTTACGGTCCTCCGTCTTCAAGAAAAGTAGAACAGACTAATGGTCTTTTAAAAACACACCTCACCAAGCTCAGCCACCAAAAAGGACTGGACAATACTTTTATCACTTTCCCTTCTCAGAATTCAGGCCTGTCCTCGGAATGCTACAAGGTACAGCCCATTTAAGCTCCTGTATAGACGCTCCTTTTTATTAGGCCCCAGTCTCATTCCAGACACCAGACCAACTTGGACTGTGCCCCAGAAAACTTGTCATCCCTACTATCTTCTGTCTAGTCATACTCCTATTCACCGTTCTCAACTACTCATACATGCCCTGCTCTTGTTTACACTGCCGGTTTACACTGTTTCTCCAAGCCATCACAGCTGATATCTCCCGGTGGTATCCCAAAACTGCCACTCTTAACTCTTGAAGTAAATAAATAATCTTTGCTGGCAGGACTATGCTGAATCTCCTTAGGCACTCTCTAATTAGATGTCCTAGGTCCTCCCAATTCTTAGTCCTTTTATACCTGTTTTTCTCCTTCTCTTATTCCATTTAGTTTTTCAATTCATACAAAACCGTATCCAGGCCATCACCAATCATTCTATACGACAAACGTTTCTTCTAACATCCCCACAATATCACCCCTTACCACAAGATCTCCCTTCAGCTTAATCTCTCCCATTCTAGGTTCCCACGCCGCCCCTAATCCCGCTTGAAGCAGCCCTGAGAAACATCGCCCATTCTCTCTCCATACCACCCCCCAAAAATTTTCGCCGCCCCAACACTTCAACACTATTTTATTTTTCTTATTAATATAAGAAGGCAGGAATGTCAGGCCTCTGAGCCCAAGCCACGCCATCGCATCCCCTGTGACTTGCATGTATACGCCCAGATGGCCTGAAGTAACTGAAGAATCACAAAAGAAGTGAATATGCCCTGCCCCACCTTAACTGATGACATTCCACCACAAAAGAAGTGTAAATGGCCGGTCCTTGCCTTAACTGATGACATTACCTTGTGAAAGTCCTTTCCCTGGTTCATCCTGGCTCAAAAAGCACCCCCACTGAGCACCTTGCGACCCCCACTCCTGCCCACTGAGCACCTTGCGACCCCGCACTCCTACCCGCCAGATAACAAACCCCCTTTGACTGTAATTTTCCTTTACCTACCCAAATCCTATAAAACGGCCCCACCCTTATCTCCCTTCGCTGACTCTCTTTTCGGACTCAGCCCACCTGCACCCAGGTGAAATAAACAGCCATGTTGCCCACACAAAGCCTGTTTGGTGGTCTCTTCACACGGACGCGCATGAAATCTGGTGAAAATAGCCATTGTAACGTCGTAGCACAGTTACTTAAAAAAATAAATTTAGCGTAGCCTAAATGTACACTTTTTATAAAGTTTATAGTTAAGTACAGTAATGTCCCTGGCCTTCACATTCACTCCCCACTCACTCACTGACACCCAGAGCCACTTCCAGTCCTGCAAGCTCTGTTCATGCTAAGTGCCCTACACAGATGTGCCATTTTTCTCTTTTACATTTTATTTTTACTATAGTATTTTTACTATACTATTTCTATGTTTAGATTTTTTTTTTTTTTTTTTTTTGAGACGGAGTCTCACTCTGTTGCCCAGGGTGGAGTGCAGTGGTGCAATCTCGGCTCACTGCAAGCTCTGCCTCCCGGGTTCATGCCATTCTCCTGCCTCAGCCTCCCGAGTAGCTGGGACTACAGGTGCCCGCCACCACGCCCAGCTGGTTTTTTGTATTTTTAGTAGAAACGGGTTTTCACCATGTTAGCCAGGATGGTCTCGATCTCCTGACCTCGTGATCCACCCGCCTCGGCCTCCCAAAGTGCTGGGATTACAGGCGTGAGCCACCGCACCCGGCCCTAGATTTGTTTAAATGCACAAATACTTACCATTGTGTTACAGTTGGCTACAGCATTCAGCACTGTGCTGTACAAGTCTGTAGTCTAGGAGCAATAGGCTGTCTATCCCATATAGTCTCGGTGTGTAGTGGGCTACCCCATCTAGGTCTAACTATATGATATTCGCACCATGACAAAATTGCCAGGGACATATGGATGCATGACTGTATTGAAGTTCCTGTCATCAGATTACACCGGAAGACTTAGCTCCGGCTCATAGCCCTTTCACCTGCTGGGGGATTTCAGCGTGTTTCTAGAGAGTCGGTTGCACGCTCTGGCACCTCAGTCCTTCCACCTCCAGAGACCTTGCCTGCCCCTTTTTCAGCCTTCCATTCCCACCTGCATACTCTTGCCCTTGTCACTACGATAACAAGCTCCTCCAGAACCTCCATTCCAAACACGCCCTTTCTGACCACCACTTTCCTTTTCTCCCAACTCCAATATTTTCATTGACGCCAGCCTTTCACGTCTGCCTCTCACTCACCTCCTTGCACATCTCCCCTCCTCCCAGCCCAGACTTCATGGTCCAGTCTGCCATCCACCCTCCCCACATCCTCGTACTAGTTATTGTACTCACAGAGGAGAAATCCCACTCTACTTAAACTCAGCCACCCCCAACCCCCTGCTCCTGCACCCAGGCGGCTGAGCACAGCCAGAGAGAAACACACATGCTTTCTGGTCTCACTCACAAACCACTCGGCTCCTGTGGGCCCTGGAGGCGGTCCTAAAAACCCACTCCGTTTCCAAGTCCATTTCTCTGCCTGACTTATTTATTTTATTTTTTATCTCAGTAAAAGCGTATATAATAGTTATATGTTGCAGGCAATATTCTAAGCATGTTATTATCAAGTATTTTTTAAACAACTCTGTGAGGTACATTCTGTAACTATTGCCATTTCACAGACGAAGAGATAGACACACAGGAAGAGACTGCGTGACTTGTCCTGGAGCCCAGGCCTGTGGCCCCGTGCAGTGCTGCCCTGCCCCCAGACAATGACAGCAACATGCCTTCTCCTTTCTCCTTAAACCCCCAAATCCTTCTCCCCCAGCCTGCCTTATAGTTGCTGCCTTGCTTCCTATTCCAATGAGAAAATAGACTCAATAAAGAGAGAACCTCCAATGGCTCCCCCCTCCACATCATCTCCCTACCTGCCTGCCTGTGCCTCCTTTTCCACCTTCCCCTGTGATTATGGCTGCACCCTTGTCTAGAGGATAGAGCCTTCCACCTGTGCACTAGGATCCATCCCTTCTCACCTCCTAAGAGATGCTCCCTACTCTCCAGCATTGCCAGCTTCTCTGTCTCAACTGTAACACTTCCATCAGCTCTGGGCCATCATCCATCTTCCTGCTTCCCCAAGGATATAGGGAAAACCTTGAAAGTGATGTCTGTGGTGGCCGTCTTTGGCTCCTCTTCCTGCATTGTCTCTACACAGGCCTTCCTGGTGATCTCCACATGGCTAAATCAGAACACCGGACCCCAGCATCTGACTGATTTTCCTTTCTCACCTTGCTTGTCCCGTGGGCCTCATTTGACCCAGTTGGTCACTTCCTCCTCCTGGACATGCTCCCTCGTGATCTCTGTGAGTCCCCTGTCATTGAATTACGTTGATATGTTGACAACTTCCAGCCCAGCATCTCCCCTAAGTTCCATGTGACACCTTGGCCATCTGGTGAATGGCTCAAACCCATGCACCCAGAACTCCTCAGTTCTCCACTAAGCCACTCCTCTCTGGGCTCCCCAGCTGCTCCTTAAGTGACAAGGCCAAAACACTGTCACCTCTCACATCTCATCTGTGGACAAATACAAATACACTCAGAGTCCCACTGCTGCCTCTGATCTAAGCCACTACCAGTGTGGCTCACAGTCTCCCACCTGCTCTCTCTGCTTTTACCCTGGTCACCGACATCTATTTTCCAAATAGCACTCACAGCAATCCTCAAAAATTATAAATCAGATCATGTCCCTCTGATATGGTTTCGCTGTGTCCCCATTCAAATCTCAGCTTGAATTGTATTTCCCAGAATTCCCACGTGTTGTGGGAGGGACCCAGGGGGAGGTAATTGAATCATGGGGGATGGTCTTTCCCATGCTATTCTCATGGTAGTGAATAAGTCTCAGGAGATCTGATGGGTTTATCAGGGGTTTCCATTTTTGCTTCCTCCTCATTTTCTCTTGCCTCCGCCATGTAAGAAGTGCCTTTCGTTTCCCGTCATGATTCTGAGACCTCCGCAGCCACGTGGAACTATAAGTCCAATTAAACCTATTTTTCTTCCTAGTCTCAGGTATGTCTTTATCAGCAGCATAAAAATGGACTAATCCAGTAAATTGGTACTGAGAGTGGGGTGTTGCTTAAAAGATACCTGAAAATGTGGAAATGACTTTGAAATTGGGTAACAGGCAGAATTTGGAACAGTTTGGAGGGCTCAGAAGAAGACAGGAAAATGTGAGAAAGTTTGGAACTTCCTAGAGACTTGTTCAATGGCTTTGACAAAAATACTCATAGTGATATGAACAATAAGGCCCAAGGTGAGGTGGTCTCAGAGGGGGCAGATGAGGAACTTGTTGGGAACTGGAGCAAAGGTGACTCCTGTTATGTTTTAGCAAAGAGACTGGCAACATTTTGCCCCTGCCCTTGAGATTTGCGGAACGTCGAACTTGAGAGAGACGATTTAGGGTATCTGGTGGAAGAAATTTCTAAGCAGCAAAGCATTCAAGAGGTGACTTGGGTACTGTTAAAAACATTCTGTTTTGAACGGGAAGCAGAGCACAAAAGTTCAGAAAATTTGCAGCCTAATATTGCAGTAGAAAAGAAAAACCCATTTTTTGAGGAGAAATTCAAGCCAGCTGCAGAAATTTGCCTAAGTAGCAAGGAGCCTAGTGTTAATCCTCAAAACCATGGAGAAAATGTCTCCAGGCCATGTCAGGGACCTTCACAACAGCTCCTCCCATCACAGGCCTAGAGCCCCAGGAGGAAAAAGTGGTTTTGTGGGCCAGGCCCAGGGTTCCTGTGCTGTGTGCAGCCCAGGGACTTGGTGCTCTGTGTCCCAGCTGCTCCAGGCATGGCTGAAAGGGGTCAACATACAGCTTGGGCTGTGGCTTCAGAGGTGGAAGCCCCAAGACTTGGCAACTTCTATGTGGTGTTGAGCCTGCAGGTGCACAGAAGTCAAGAATTGAGGTTTGGGAACCTCCACCTAGATTTCAGAAGACGTAGGAAATGCTTGGATGTCCAGGCAGAAATTTGCTTCAGGGTGGGGTGCTCATGGAGAACCTCTGGTAGGACAGTGCAGAAGGGAAATGTGGGGTCACAGCCCCCAGACAGAATCCCTACTGGGGCATTGCCTAGTGGAGCTGAGTAGAGGGCCACTGTCCTCCAGACCCCAGAATGGTAGATCCACTGACAACTTGCACTGTTCTCCTGGAAAATCTGCAGACAATCAATGCCAGCCCATGAAAGCTGTTGGGAGGGAGGCTGTACCCTGCAAAGTCACAGGGGCAGAGCTGCCCAAGACCATGGGAACCTACCTCTTGCATCAGCGTGACCTGGATGTGAGATGTGGAGTCAAAGGAGATCATTTTGGAGCTTTAAAATTTGACTGCACCACTGGATTTTGGACTTGCATGGGGCCTGTAGCCCCTTTGTTTTGGCCAATTTCTCCCATTTGGAATGGCTGTATTTACCAAATACCTGTATCCCTATTGTATCTAGAAAGTAACCAGCTTGCTTTCGATTTTACAGGCTCATAGGTGGAAGGGACTTGCCTTGTCTCAGATGAGACTTTGGACTGTGGACTTTTGGGTCAATGCTGAAATGAGTTAAAACTTTGAGAGACTGTTGGGAAGGCATGATTGGTTTTGAAATGTGAGGACATGAAATTTGGAGGGGTCAGGGGCAGAATGATGTGGTTTGGCTGTGTTGCCATTCAACTCGCAGCTTGAATTGTGTCTCCCAGAATTCCCACATGTTGTGGGAGGGAGCCAGGGAGAGGTAATTGAATCATGGGGCTGGTCTTTCCCATGCTATTCTCGTGATAGTGAATAAGTCTCATAGGATCTGATGGGATTATCAGGGGTTTCTGCTTTTGTATCCTTTTTATTTTCTCTTGCTGTTGCCATGTAAGAAGTGCTTTTCGCCTCCTGCCGTGATTCTGAGGCCTGCCCAGCCATGTGGAACTGTAAGTCCAATTAAACCTCTTTTTCTTCCCAGTCTTGGGTATGTCTTTATCAGCAGCATGAAAACGAACTAATTTACCCTCCTCTGCTTAAAACCTGCCCTTAGCTCTCCACCTTCCCGGAGAAAAGCCAGAGTCCCCAGAATGGTTGGCGAGCTCCCCCAGGTCTGCCCCCACACCAGCCTCCAGCCCAGCTCTTCCTTGCAGGCTCCTTCCCATCTCTGGGCTGTTCCAGTCTGGGGCAGCACTTCTCCACTGTGTCCACGGCCCGTCCTCTCAGCTCCTTTCCTCCAGTGTTCTCTTTGCACACCGCCCTGTTTTAAAGTGCCAGGTCTCCCACCCTCTTCTCTTTTCCTTTTCCTCCATGGCACTCATCACCATCTCACACAGTACATGTTTGATTTGTCGTCTGTTCCGCCCTACTAGAGGGAGGGCTGCACAGGGGCAGGGATTCTATGGATCTTGTTCACTGCCATACCCAGCATCTAGAACAGTCCCTGGTACATAATAGGTGTTCAGTAATTAACTCAGTCATTAAACATACATGTCAGGCTCTAGCTTGGTGCTAGGGATGCCAAGGATGACCTGACTCAGGCAGGTTCCCTGCTTATACTGAGTTCACGACCCGTGGGGAAGACAGATGCACTCTCTGACAGGTTTGCAGGCAGCCCTTTATATCTGTCACCTTCCATGTAGCCCCTACTGCACATGGGAGGAAATGCTCTCAAGTAGAGAGTTGCAGCCCTGTCTCCCCGACCTCAGGAGGGAGAGCCCTGAGCTCCAACCCTTGCCCTCTGGGGCTATGGGAAACAGCTGGAAAGGGAGTTTAAGTCCACTCTGACCCATAGCTGTGTGATGTGCACAAAATGCTCTCCCTCTCTGCCTCTCAATTTTCTTGTCTATTAAACAGAGATGATAGTCCCAGCACAGCATGTCCCACAGGGCTGGGGCGAATGAGACAGGAAGGATGAAAATGCTTTGTGGACAAAGAGGAGGAGTTCTAAGTGCTCCAAGAGAGGAGCCATGTTTATTTTACGATGTTATGTCTTTTGGGGTTTTTCTGAGGTGGAGTCTCACTCTGTTGCCCAGCTGAAGTGCAGTGGTGCAATCTCGGCTCACCGCAACCTCTGCCTCCCGGGTTCAAGCAATTCCCCTGCCCCAGCCTCCCTAGTAGCTGGGATTACAGGCACCCACCACCACGCCTGGCTAATTTTTGTATTTTAGTAGAGATGGGGTTTTACCATGTTGGCCAGGCTGGTCTCGAACTCCTGACCTCAATTGATCCGTCTGCCTCGGACTCCCAAAATGCTGGGATTACAGGCGTGAGCCACCGCACCCAGCCTATTTTACAATTTTAAACATGATATAACTGTAGAATGCAGACATCAAGACTCTCTTATAATTCCATTTGGGGTCTGTACCTTAAATCTTATGTTGTTTATGCAGAGACAAACATTATATATACAAATGTAACCACTTTATTGAAATGGGATCATAACATGCTGTTTAAAAGTTATTGATGTTGGACATCTTTCCATGTCAATATATAAACCTCCATTTATTTCTTTTTACCAGCTGCCAAATATCCCACCATATGAACAGACTAAAATCTGTCCCTCCATTGATGAATGTTTGGATTGCTGAACCCCTGGAAGAAATTCAATAAGAGCAAACAGAAGTGTAATATATGACACCCTGGCAGATCAAAGTGAGAGTTTTATTAGAGGAGACAGTAAAGCTGGTGGAGCGGGGAGAGCTAAGTGAATCAACATGTTGCAGTCGGAGCCAGGACTCATACCACCCCAAGAGGCAGGAGGCAGCGCAGCCAGAAGGGCACTGAGGAGCCATGGCCACAGCTCCCTGTGGCTCCCAGCAGCGGGACCAGATGCAAACTTCCCACCCCACCACATGTCTGGGCTTCCTATACCCTGTTCAGTCTTTACTGAGTCAGAAGCTGTTTTAAGAGCTGAGCACACCCATTTTACAGCAGAGCTTCTTACGGAAAAGCGTGCTGCTGTCCTGGACCCTTTGTCCATCCTGGGCCATTGGGCCAGCTCCAGCCTCATCCTTGAATGGTGGGTGTACATCGCTGGGGTCCTTGCTAGATTATATTAGGGCCTCCACACACTTTAGTTGCTCTCCGTTTGCACAATGATTTCTATATCATTAGTACCTCTTTGTCCACTTGCCTAATTATTTCCTTAGGATAAATTCCTAAGAAATCAAATAGCTAGGTCAGTATATAGCACATTTTCACAGTTTGCTACTGACTAGAGATATTAAAGGTACAAAAACAGCCAGAATTAGATGTAGAGTCGCAAGGGAGTTTTGTTACTAAGACGTCATTTCTAATCAGGGAGAAAAAATGAGTTACGGAATAAACGGTATTGGAACAATAGGCTAGCCTTCTGGAGAAAAATAACCTCACTCCTTATACAAAAGTAAATCCCAGTGGAAGCCAAGATATTAAAAAAAGATTTAAAAAAGGAGGACAATTTTTATATGATCTTGATAAGGAGGAGGCCTTTCTAAGCACAGTACAAAATCAAGAAGTCATGAAATAAAAGGCTGATAAGTTTGACTCCATGAAAATTAAAATTTTCTATGGAAAAAAATACAATAAAGTCAAAAATCAATCAACAAACTGGAAAATAGATTTGCAACATACATAAGAGACAGCAGGCTAATTTTGGTATTATACATAAAAAGCTATTACAAATCATCAAACAAAAGCTCCACAGCCAAAATGAAAAAATGAAGAGACAGTTCAAAGACAAACAAATGTAGATAATTGTTTAACTTAAGGAAAGGTCAAAATATTTGGCAACTCTGTGTTGGCCTGGGTGTGACCATGAGCGGTAGTTGCCAGTGGTATTCACAAATATACCCTTTCTCCTCCTTCTGGGCACTTGGTGTGATTGCAGTTTCCTACATTTGACCTTAGGTGTGGTCATGTGTCTCGCTTAGGAGAAGGAAATGTGAACGGAAGTGTTGTGGGTCACTTTTGTGTGGAAGCTGCATGGAGTCACCTCTTTGCTTTCCGTCAGCCTCAGTGTTCAGCAATGTTCTGAATGATGGTTGCTTTATCAGTCTGGTTCTGGGGTGAGGGTAATGAAGTAGTGAAGCAAAGTCCTTGATGGACATGTGAGGTGAGACAGAAATAAACCTTTGACATTTCAAGCCCCTGAGATTTGGGGCGTGCATGTGCTGGAAGCAGAACCTAGCCTATTCTGATGGATTCCTCCAGCACTGCTCGTGGGAAGACATCATCAATATAGAGCATTCATGTGCCCTTTATCTCGAAATTCCACTTCCAGGAATTTATGAAACAGATACTCTCACATGTGCAAACAGCTATGGATAAGGACAGACATGGCAACTTGGATTGCAATAGCAAAAGACAGAAACAACCAACGGAAACACCAACCAATAGGAAATTGGCTAAAGACATTGTGAAACATACATAGAATGAAATAATCTGCAACCAGAAAAATAAGGCAGTAGATGTATGTGTACCAGTGTGGTTTTTATTCCGAGATTAGGGCTAGGTTAAGACGTCAGATTAAGTTGTCCCTCTCCACCCCACCAATATAAATAAAAAGTTAAAAGTAAATCATAAACTATTTTTACAATTTTAAAAAGTGGGTTAAAGAGCCCATCCAAGTAGTTTTATAAAAGTAGACTATCTCCGAAAAGATACCCAATAAATAGGTATATTACTTTCCTGGGGCTGTTATAACAAGTTTCTACAAATTTGCTGGCTTCAAATAACAAAAACGTATTCTCTTGCAGTTATGGAAGCCAGAAGTATGGAATGAAGGGTTGCAGGGTGGTGCCCTCTCCCAAAGCTCTAGGGGAGGAACATTCCTTGCTTCTTCCAGCTCCTTTGGGGGCTCCTGGCATTCCTTGGCTTATGTCGGCACAGCTCTAATCGGCGCCTCCATTGTTACATAGGTGTTTCTGTGTCTCAAGTATCTCTCCCCTTTCTCTTCTGATATCAGTCATTGGATTTAGGGACCATCCTAAACCCAGGATAATCTCCTCATGAGATCCTTAGGTCAATTACATCTGCAAAGATCTCATTTCCAAATAAGGTCACATTCAAAAGTACCAGGGGTTAGTCTTAGACTTATCTTTTTGGGGGACACGATTCAACCCACTACCGTGGGTAACAGTGGTTTTCCCTCAGAAGGTGGTGGTTCAGGAGTGGGAGGAAGATGAACTTTTCACTGTATATCCTTTCAAACTATTCACGTTTTAAAAAAAACATTTTCATGTAAATTTAAAAAAATTGAACATTCACACAAAAAGATGCCCCCTCCCTTGCAAAAAAGAGTATGCCCGTTCAAAATGTTGAAATGTACACTCACAGCAATGGTGGCTGCAGACTCCAAGTTTCTGAGGTTGGAGAAGGTAGCCAGGGAGCATAAAAGTGAGTTCTATCTACTCATTCAGTCTATGAGGGGAAGGCAATGGCTAGAAAAGCATTTTGAGGGACAGTAAAAGTGGCATTTTTAGAGGGAGGAAGCCTTGAGGATGCTTGTGGGGTGAAGGGAAAGAATAACTCAGGAAGAGGCATTTAGGGATAAGAGGAGGAGAGGAGATAGTGGAGGTAGGTGATCCCTGCGGAGGCCAGATTGGGGCAGGGGAGTGTCAGCTGAGTATAAGAGGATGGTCCCCTCTGCCCTGAAGGAGGAAGGCAGGAGGGGAAAAGGATGGGTGTTGACCCAGAAAGCACTTGTGGTGGAGGGGAGGCCCCAGAAGAGGCTTCTGACTTACCCTGATTGCTGGTACCTCTCAGGGGAGCTGGCTGCTTATTTGCTGGCCAGGGTGTGGGGGAACCCATTTGAGAAGAGGGAGAAGGTGACACAATTCCTTTGGGCAACTTATGGGAGGGGTAATTGGTGAGGGATGAAAGCCCTGCCAAGTGGCAGGAGGCCCAGCTGGGGCTGCCCCTCATAAGAGTGCAGTGGAGGATATGGGATGAGAAGTGACTGCCCCTCTGGTTCCATCTGTCGCAGAGCCCAGGGTGCTTCCTTCCTCCCCCACCTCCCTCAGAACACACCCACTGCATGCTGGACAGCAGCCCCCTTCCTGGGCCTGGGGACATCCATGTCCCTCTGTGCACAGGCTTCATCATTCTCTGGGTGCACGGTAACGACCCCGGTAGGTGAGAGGCCAAGGTCCCAAAGGGGAGCAGCAGGGAAAGTTAGCTCCCATCTATTCTTGCTCCAGGGGAGGCCTTTGATGAGGAAGCTGCCAAAAGCACATTGCAAATACAATTCCAATTACAGGCAACAGGAAGGAGAACCACCTCTGCCACCTCTGTCAGCAAACCATGAGCTCCTACTCTGTGCTGCGATGGCGGGCTCGATGGGGATAACTCTGACCTTACCTCATGGAGTCACTGTCAACCCACTGGTTGCACTGTCTTTGTGCACTGGCTCTCTGGAGTGAGGTCTTTGCAAACAAAGTGGAAAGAGCATCAACTTTGGACTCCAGCACCTAGATTCAGAGCAGGCCATTTCACTCGGAATCTGCTGTGCATCTGCAAGGGAGGATCATAAATTCGCCTTTGTTTCTTCCCAGTATCGACAGCCCTTCCAGAAAGAGCAAGCCTCATGTCATGCCACATGTACAATCTGAGGCCAGGAGCTCTCTTTCCCCTTTTCATCCTCCTGCCTGGTACACAATAGGTGTTTACTGGATGCTTGTCCAGTTGATTTCTTGAACATGGTGTGTAAAAGGAATCTTTGCAAATTGAATCTTCTGGAAAGCTGAGCTTGTGCCTACCATAGAATTCTGAATGTACCTATATGACGTCTTTGCAAACTTAAAACCTGAATCTTTGTAGTATAAATCCCTTGAAATGCATGTAGGCTGGACATCAAAAGCAAGCAATCTCTTCAAGGAGCAGCTAGTTGGTAAGGTCAGTGTGCAGGGTGCATAAAGGGCAGAGGCCGGAGGGGGTCCAGGCTAAGTTTAGAAGGCTGCCAGGTTAAGGCCAGTGGAAAGAATTCGGTGGGCAGCGAGGAGTCCACAGTAGGATTGATTCAGAAGTCTCACTGGTCAGCAGGAGACAAGGTGGACCCAGGAAACACTGAAAAGGTGGGCCCGGCAGAACTTGGAGTCTGGCATCCCACGCAGGGTGAGAGGCGGGAGAGGAGGAGCCCCTAGGGCGCCGGCCTGCCTTCCAGCCCAGTTAGGATTTGGGAGTTTTTTCTTCCCTCTGCGCGTAATCTGACGCTGTTTGGGGAGGGCGAGGCCGAAACCTGATCCTCCAGTCCGGGGGTTCCGTTAATGTTTAATCAGATAGGATCGTCCGATGGGGCTCTGGTGGCGTGATCTGCGCGCCCCAGGCGTCAAGCACCCACACCCTAGAAGGTTTCCGCAGCGACGTCGAGGCGCTCATGGTTGCAGGCGGGCGCCGCCGTTCAGTTCAGGGTCTGAGCCTGGAGGAGTGAGCCAGGCAGTGAGACTGGCTCGGGCGGGCCGGGACGCGTCGTTGCAGCAGCGGCTCCCAGCTCCCAGCCAGGATTCCGCGCGCCCCTTCACGCGCCCTGCTCCTGAACTTCAGCTCCTGCACAGTCCTCCCCACCGCAAGGCTCAAGGCGCCGCCGGCGTGGACCGCGCACGGCCTCTAGGTCTCCTCGCCAGGACAGCAACCTCTCCCCTGGCCCTCATGGGCACCGTCAGCTCCAGGCGGTCCTGGTGGCCGCTGCCACTGCTGCTGCTGCTGCTGCTGCTCCTGGGTCCCGCGGGCGCCCGTGCGCAGGAGGACGAGGACGGCGACTACGAGGAGCTGGTGCTAGCCTTGCGTTCCGAGGAGGACGGCCTGGCCGAAGCACCCGAGCACGGAACCACAGCCACCTTCCACCGCTGCGCCAAGGTGCGGGTGTAGGGATGGGAGGCCGGGGCGAACCCGCAGCCGGGACGGTGCGGTGCTGTTTCCTCTCGGGCCTCAGTTTCCCCCCATGTAAGAGAGGAAGTGGAGTGCAGGTCGCCGAGGGCTCTTCGCTTGGCACGATCTTGGGGACTGCAGGCAAGGCGGCGGGGGAGGACGGGTAGTGGGGAGCACGGTGGAGAGCGGGGACGGCCGGCTCTTTGGGGACTTGCTGGGGCGTGCGGCTGCGCTATTCAGTGGGAAGGTTCGCGGGGTTGGGAGACCCGGAGGCCGAGGAAGGGCGAGCAGAGCACTGCCAGGATATCCTGCCCAGATTTCCCAGTTTCTGCCTCGCCGCGGCACAGGTGGGTGAAGGAGTGAATGCCTGGAACGTACTGGGAACTGCACCAGGCACAGAGAAAGCGGGCTTGCCATTATAGTGGGTTCCGATTTGGTTTGGAAAACATGGGCAGCGGAGGGTGGAGGGCCTGGAGAGAAGGCCCTACCCGAGACAGGGGCGGGGTGGGAAGGACGGCAGATGCTGGGAGCACGAGGCAATTTCTTTATGACACAGAACTCATGCTCTAGTATTCCATCTGTTTCAGCCGAAGAAAAGAACCAGCTGAAGGGGCAGGGGAGAAGGGGCGGAGGTATTCTCGAGGCCCATTGGCGTCCTTTAGGACTCAGGCAGGGAAGGGCCCTTGGTGCTCTGGAGCCGGAGGTGGTGCGCCTGGTACTGGGACCCCGGAGCTGAGCCCGGCGCCTCAGCCCACCTGGCTGTCTGCCGACCGTGTGCGGGGCGAGTTTGCTCAACAACTCTGCCAGCTTCTGGCCCTCAGGCTGTGGGAAGCTTCTTCCCGGGGCGAGACCACTAGCTTTTTCTAAGTATTACCAGCCCAGGACTTGGCTGAGGTTCTGTGTCCCCCAGCTTGGAGTCAGATGTGGGGTTGAATCTTGGCTTCCTCTCACTAGCTGTGGTGCTTGACAAGTCACTTATCCTTGAGCCTCCATTGCCTAATCTTTAAAAGGGAGGTGACAATCGTCCCTACGGCTCAGTGGCAGCAGATGGGGAGATGAAGGGAAAGTTCTGTTGACCATGAGTGAACTTACAATGCAAGCCCCGGGGGGATCACTTGCAGTTTTGTCCCTGTCTGCAGTGTGACCTGTTGGTGACATTGTCTTTGCTCCAAACCACAGCTCCTGGGGCAGAGGGGAAAATTCTGCCACTCACAGCTGCCTGCCCACGCTTCTGTCTGAGTGTGCTGGGTGGCAGGATGGCAAGTCCTTACTCAGCTCAGTATAGCCCTCTTCCTTGTTCCCTGAGCCTTTGACTTTCTCGAGGGATGTTGTGGGGTTGTGGCCAGGATAAGAAAGGGCATTTCAAGTTACCACTGCTCCAAAACAACTGTTCTGGAAATAGTGAGTACCCCATCCTGAGAGGTGAGTAAGCAGAGGCTGTATGACCACCTGAACCAAGCCCTTGAGGATGTTTCTTCTCTGGTGGAAGTTTGGAACAGGAGCCTCCTCAAGTTCATTTATTCATTCATTCAATGGTTATTTTGTGGGAATCGAATTTAGAATGAAAATATTTTTTGGCAAGCAGAAAATAATTTTTAGACCAATCCTTTTCTTTTAGTCATGAGAAACTGAGGCCCAGAGAGAGGAGGTCACCCCAGGTGCATTAGAACTGGGTTTCCAGAACTGACACTCCACTGCACAGAGTACTCTCCCAATTCATTCAATTTTTATTTAGCGGAAGGCATTTTCAGATGGGTCTTTGAAGCATTAGTAGGAGTTCAGCGATGATGGTGTCATGAGAATTTTATTCTAGGATTAGGAGGTACCATGAACAAAGATACAGAGCTGGGAAAACCAGAGGTGGAAGATAAGGAGCACATGTCCACAGTTCTTTTTCTTTTTTTTTTGAGATGGAGTTTCGCTCTTGTTGCCCAGGCTGGAGTGCAATGGTGCAGTCTCAGCTCACTGCAACATCTGTCTCCCGGGTTCAAGTGGTTCTCCTGCCTCAGCCTCCCAAGAAGCTGGGATTACAGGTACCTGCCACCACGCCCGGCTAATTTTTGTATTTTTAGTAGAGAAGGGGTTTCACCACGTTGGCCAGGCTAGTCGCAAACTCCTGACCTCCTCAGTGGATCCGAGGAGGTGATCCTCCCGCCTCAGCCTCCCAAAGTGCTCGAATTACAGGTGTGAGCCACCACGCCTGGCCTCCACAGTTCTTTATCCACCGTCTGAAATGTAAAATGTTACGAAAACCAAAAGTTTTTTTTGTGATTTATTTGATGGTAGCACCTGACGTGAACTGACATGAGATTATTTTTAATTTAGTTGTGTGAATATGCATATTCATATATTTTGCTGCATAGATTACAGTATGCAGCTCCAGATTCTTCCAAGCAGACTCTGATTGCCCATTACTGCCTTTCTAAAATCCAAACAAGTTCTGAGGTTCAAAACCGTTTTGGCCCTAAGGCTTTGGGTAAAGGGGGTGGACTCTGTTCTACTCTGACTGGAGTCCAAGATGCATATATACAGAGATATGGGTGATGGGGCTGCAAGGTAGGTTGAGGTAGGGGCCAAGGAGGAGCATGGAGTTTGGACTTGATTCATGAGGCTGTGGGGAGCCAGTGAAGGTTCTTAAGCAGGTATGTCTGCCTGAGAGCAGTTGGAGCAGACAAGAGCTAAAAACCAAACAAATCACCATAGATAGTGGCTGCTATAATTTGTTTGTCCCCTCCAAATCTCATGTGGAAATTTGGTCCTCAGTGTTGGAAGTGGGGCCTAATGGGAGGTGTTTGGGTCATGGGGGAGGAACCCCTGTGAAAGGCTTGGTGCCGTCCTTGTGATAATGAGTAAGTTCTCCCGCTATGATTTCCCTTGAAGGCTGATTATTAAAAAGAGCTTGGCACCTCCCTCTCTTCTCTCTTGCTTCTTCTCTTGCCATGTGATTGATCTCTGCACATGTAGGCTCCCCTTCACCTTCTGCCATCAGTGAAAGCAGCTTAAGGCCCTCACCAGAAGCAGATGCTGGTGCCATGCTTCCTGGAGAGCTTGCAGAATCATGAGCTGAATAAATCCCTTTTCCTTGTAAATTACTCACCTTCAGGTATTCCTTTATATAGCAACACAAAAGGACTAAGACAGTGGCCTTGACTTTTCTCTCTCTTTAAGAAGTGTTGCCTTTGCTCACTTAGTCATCCCTTCTGCCTGCATTTGTAGAGCATCTGGATGGGAGATTTATATAACCGTCACTCTTGACTTTCCCAGCAGGCCTATGTCATAGGTACTGTGGTCTCTACAATACAGCAGAGGTATCTGAGGCTCCGAGAGGTTGAGTGACTTGCTCATGGCTGCACAACCAGTAAATATTGGAGCTGGAATTCAGGTCCACGGTTTCCTGGCTCCAAAGCCCATGATTTTTTCCCTCAATTTATTCTGACTGGGGCATGGGGGAGGGGGTGGCCTTTGGGCAGGGCCACCAGGAGCGACCAGGCCCGTAGAGAGCTGGGTGCAGGTACAGAGGAAAACCTGTTGTCGAGTGTGGCCCGTAGTTCCCATTTTTGCCTGAATGGCACATTTGAAAGTGTTATATAACCATGTGAATAATAATAGTTGGCCTATATGAGTTCTTTAATTTGCTTTTTGGTCCGCATTTGGTAACTTCTTTATCATCTACTATACTCTGTTGTGTCTCTTTTGTTGTAATTTGTAAGTAGGGGTGAGATAAAGTACACCTAGGGTTTGCTGGGTTTCTTCCATGTCATCATGTTCCTCCTTGCATGGGGCCAGGATCCGTGGAGGTTGCCTGGCACCTACGTGGTGGTGCTGAAGGAGGAGACCCACCTCTCGCAGTCAGAGCGCACTGCCCGCCGCCTGCAGGCCCAGGCTGCCCGCCGGGGATACCTCACCAAGATCCTGCATGTCTTCCATGGCCTTCTTCCTGGCTTCCTGGTGAAGATGAGTGGCGACCTGCTGGAGCTGGTGAGCCACCCTTTTTGGGAATGGCACTTCCTGATAGGGCTGGGCCACTGCATATACACTGGGGACTGTGCTTAGTAGGCCCATTGCTGAAAATCAGAAGGGGACAGCAAGTATGTATTGAGCACTTATCGGGTACCAAGCACAGTAACTACTGGCTTTCTGTATAGAATTCCCTTTAAGCCTGGCCATGCCCCAGTGGTACGTCTATCTTCATTTGAAAGACGAGGAGACTGAAGTTCAGAGGGGACCACACAGACAGCTAGGGGTAGAGCCTGGATCAAACCCATTGGTCTGCCTGCCAGCCATTCTTGTGCCAATGCATCTGCTGCCTACGGAAACCTGTAGGGACAAGGCCCTGGGATGTTCAGTGGAGCCTGAGTCATTTTATAAAAAAGCATGACTCTAGGGTCCAAAATTCCTTTGAAGCTGTTGCTATCCAGAGTGAAGTCCCTTCTTTAGGACAGGGTGGCCCTCCTCCCTCCTGGATGTCACATCTTCGGTGGAGGGGCAGAAAGGGGACTGGGTATTCTCCTCACCCTGGCCCTAGTGCTTCAAATCTTAAAAAAACGTTTTTATTTGTGCTTCTGCACCACCTTCTAGCCCACCTCGTTTCCTGGCCTCTAACTTGATGAGAGCGTGTGTCATTTTCACACTGATTCTCCACATGGCAGGCGGTGCTTCTTAGCCTCCTGCAGACAGTGAGGCCCCACGGTCTTGTCCAAGGTCACACAGCGTGTAATGGGCAGGGTCAGAGTCTGGAGTCTGGACCTGGGTCTCCTAGCTGCACTGCACTGCTGCCCCATGGGTTAATCAGCTCAGCATACCGTGGCTGAACAGCTACCTCATACCAAGGCCTGTGGCGCCATGACAGGGATTGACAGGGTCCCTGCCTTGGAAACCCGTAGTCTAAGTAGAGGAGACTGACAAGTCAATGCCTTCCATCAGTCTGCTCAACACACGTTTACCAAGTGCCTACTGTGTGCTGCAGAGGCGAAGATGACACAGCTCAGGCCTTTCCCTTGAGCTTACAGTTCAGGAGGAGAGACTGACCAGTGACTGCCAGTACAGTTGACTATGGGACAATGTGCTCAGCCTTGGGGAGAGACGAAGAAGGTACCCGTATAGCACCAGATGACAGGCACGAGCCCCACAGGCCAGGGCAGCTGCTCAGAGGAGAGTAGGCCAAGCAGAAGGCAAACAGAAGGCTGCAGGCATTTGCCATCGAGAGCTGGACTTCAAACTGGGCATCATACCAGCCTGGGTTCGAGTCCTGCCCAGCCCCTTATTGGCTGTCTAACCCTGAGCAAATCCCTTCACCTCTCTGAGCCTCATTCCTCTATCTGTAAACCAGTTATAATAATTGGAACATTCATTTAAGGACTAAATGAGGTCGTGAAGCATTCAGCAGATGCTAGGTACGGAAACTCGCTGAAGTGGGGGCAGGTTAAGAAGCCTCTGGGGATACGAAGGCATCCAGGGACTAGTTGTGGCAGGAGGCTGTTACCACTTAGGTCTGAAGGGTAAGGAGAGGGAATAGCTTTCCCTCTGCCCAGTTGGAGCCGGTGGCATGGAGGAGAGGCTGCCTGTGGGGAATCACCCGAGGGTTCACCGCTGCCATGCGCAGGGAGTCAGGAGGTAGGGAGGGAGTGGGGCAGATGCACACCATTTTTTTTTTTTTTTGAGACTCTGTTGCCCAGACTGGAGTGCAGTGGTGCCATATCTGCACCTCTGCCTCCCGGGTTCAAGCTCACTGCAACCTCTGCCTCCCGGGTTCAAGCGATTCTCCTGCCTCAGCCTCCCGAGTAGCTGGGACTACAGGTGTGTGCCACCATGCCTGGCTAATTTTTGTATTTTTAATAGAGATGGGGTTTCACCATGTTGGCCAGGCTGGTCTCGAACTCTCGACCTCAGGTGATCCCCCACCTCGGCCTCCCAAAGTGCTGGGATTACAGGCGTGAGTCACCGCTCCCAGCTGCTGATGCACTCTTGTCCTTCTAACTCCTGCTAGTGCCTCCCATTGGCTGAGCCCAACTGGAAGCTTTGCAAGGGAGCTGGTGCTGCAGTTTGCACTGAGCAGGCTGGAGAAGGCTGGAGAATAGACTAGGGGACAAACCGAATTGCCAGTGCTGTTATGTCATGATTTAGGCATGGAGTCCAGGGCCTGAGCTTCACTCCATGTCCATCCTGCCCAGAGCCTTGGCACAGCCTGGCTCCCAGACAAGATGTCAAGTTCAGAATCCTTCCTAAAAGGAATCCTCTATGCCAGACCGTGTTGCAGGGATATGGGAGTGCTGGGCTCCCAGCCTGATCAAGGAGCGAGAAAACTCAGGCTCCTAGTCTGTCCTCCGGGGCACTAGCAGGGACAAGGTGGGAGGCTGCTGGGCTGGGATGTGGGGACAGGTTTGATCAGGTAAGGCCAGGCTGTGGCTGTGTTTGCTGCTGTCCAAATGGCTTAAGCAGAGTCCCCCGGCCTCTCTGGCTTCTGCAGGCCTTGAAGTTGCCCCATGTCGACTACATCGAGGAGGACTCCTCTGTCTTTGCCCAGAGCATCCCGTGGAACCTGGAGCGGATTACCCCTCCACGGTACCGGGCGGATGAATACCAGCCCCCCGGTAAGACCCCCATCTGTGCCCTGCCCCACCCCATCTGAGCTGAATCCATTTGCTCTGCCCTGGCCTGGCCTCCCTGCTGGTGGTTTCCACTTCTCGGGGGGCTTTGGGACTCAGCACCTCCACTGACCCCTTTTTTTCTGTCCCATCCCCATCCCCTGCAGCCCCCACTGCCTGCCTTCCTGTTGCCCCACAAATGCAAAAGTCTTGCCTTAAATGATCCTCTTTTCCTTCTTTTCTCTTGTTTTCCTTTTCTCACCATTTGGAATGGCCCAGCAGGCTGCACTTACCTTGGAAGGAGGGTTCATCTGATGGTGACTCTACCTAGGGCCCCCAGGCCTCTATAACTCCCAGTGCCCTGCAGACTGGACCAGATCCTTTAATGGGATAGACACAACCCTGTCTGGGATGCCTCTGCCTACCTTCCTGTTTTGCTGCTCCACCTGCCTCCAGCTCCGTTTGGCTTCCTGGGGCTCCCTGCCTGGGCCACTTTGTGTCTTCCCTCTAGGCCTTTCTTTCCACTGTTCCCTCTGCCTGGTGTGGCCTGGCTATGGAAGGGAGGGAGGAGGAGCGGCCATGGAAAACGGTCTGCATTCTAGCAGGGACTTGCAGGTGGCAATTCAGTCGGGGAAGACTCTAGATGCACCTGGCCTGAGGAGAGAATGAAGGGTTCTAGTTGGACTGTGTTAAGTTTGAGGTGCCCATGGTGTGAGGTCTGGAGCTCAGCGCAGAGATGATGCAATGTGGTGGGTCCATGCAACATGGTGCCAGGACGCAGAGCTTGGGGTGAACTCAGCTTTCACCCCTTACCGGTTCTCGTGGGATCTTGGGAAGCCACTTTCTTCTATGAGCTTTGTCGTTCTTGTCTGTAAAATGGGCACATAACCCTGTCCCTGTCCTTCTCACAGGTTGCTGTGAGACTCCAATGAGTTGAAGGATGTGCAGATGCTTTTGGAAGTGAAAAGTTGGGGGGCTACTGTGTGACTTTGCATACACCCAAACTGTGTGACCTTGCATATGTCTGAGTTGCTGCCATTGCAACAGATCAGAGCTGGTGGGCTGGGTGTGGAGAAAGGGTTTGTGTGGGGGACATCCTCTGGCAAGGGTGGCAGCAGCAGAAGTGAGGGGCCTGGTCGGTCATGTGTGCTGACCCGGCCTGGGCAGCCTGTGGCCAGGGAGAGGACAGCTCCTCTGTAGGAAGAGCCTGTTCCTTTCCAACCAGGTGAGACCTCTTCAGTGGAGCCCTGGAGCCCCCTGTACTCCACATCAGTGCCTCAGGGACCTCCCGGAGCAGGCTAATATCAGAGACCAAGAGGGACACTGGCAGAGGATCACAGAGACCCCAGTCCAGGCAGGGACTGAGAAGATCTTGCCCCCTAAGTTAGTTTCCTAGCACTGCTGTGACAAATTACCACCCCCTCGGTTGGAACAAGTTGATTCTCTGCAGTCCTGGAGGCCAGAAGCCTGAATCAGTGTCGGCAGGACCACTTTCTCCCGGGGGGCTCCAGGGAGAAGCTTCTCTTGCCTCTTCCGTGTCCCAACAGCGGCAGCACACCAATCCCAGCCTCTGTCTTCACACAGCCTTCTCTGTGTCTCTCTCCTCTTCATTGTCTCATAAGGACACTTGTCATTGGATTTAGGGCCCACTGGATCCTCCAGGATGATCTCATGTGGGGAACCTTAACCACATCTGCAAGGACCCTTTTTCCAAATAAGGTCACAGCCACAGGTTGTGGGGGTTAGGATGTGAGTGTATCTCTTTGGCAGCCACTGTTCCCTCCTCTCCCTTGGGCCAGAAGCAGACGTGGGGCCCTTTCTTCCCCATAGGATGCCCATGGATTGCCCCCCTTCCCGCTTCCCCCGAGTGTCTGTGGGAGGTGGCAGGAATGGCAGGCAGGGGTGTGGAACCCCTTCTGGAGTCATATCAAGGGCTTGGCTGGAGGAAGTCCTCCTGGAGCTGTTGGGCTGGCATGGGGCAGGCTGGCTGGGCCCAGCAGCAGCTTCTTCATTCATGGGGAGGCCACAAGCATGGGCCCTAGAGCTGGCTGCCGCCCTCAAACCCAGACCCTGCACTCTTAACTGTGTGACCTTGCATACGTCACTCACCCTCTCTGATCTTCAGGTTCCTCTGCAAAAGGGAGGTAATGATAACCCTCACTCTGGGGGGCTGTTTGGAGGGTTAAATCAGTTATTGCTGTAGCATGCATTTCTCTGTCAGGTATTGAGTGAGGTGCTGTGATTTTAGCCCTGCATTTTTCTTTTCTTACCATTCAATAATAACGTTTTGAGCACCCACTGTGCGCCAGGCACCATATTAGGTGCTGGGGATACAAATGTGAATGAAATGAATGTGGTCTCTTCCCCCAACAGTGTATCCAGAAGATTAATCCATTCCTTAAACAAATGCTACTTGACACAGATTAGTTCTGGATAGGCTGAGAGCTCTGAAGGAGTGCAGGCAGCTGCGAGCCTGTGTATCCAGCAGAAGGATCAGGAAAGGATTCCTGGAGGAAGCGCTGTTCTAGCCAAGACCTACGGGGGCATTATTAACCAGGCAAAGGGGACGGTGTCCAAGCAGTGGAATGAACGTGGATTGAAGCTGTGAGGCAGGAGGGAGTGTGGCCTGTGCAGAAGGGACCGAGGCTGGTGAGACCAGGAGGGCCTGGGTGGCCTCCAGGTCAGATGTGAAAGGAAGAACTTGGCCACAGTCTGAGCTTCTCAGGCGTATGGCAGGGCTGCCTGGTGAGAGGGAATGAGCTCCCTGCTCTGGAGGTATGCAAGCAGGACTGGGCTCTCACCTGCCAGAGGCCACAGAGCTTTCCAGAGGCTGGAAGAGGCCACTCCAAGGCCTCTTTGCCCCTGAGAGTGGTGGCTCTTCTTGAGGCCACCTTGCCACGCTGTCACAGGGAACTAGCAGCCCCTGCCTCACCCGGGGGTTTGGAAGATAGAGGGAGGCCTAGGAAGGGCCCTGTGTCTCATCCGAGCTGGGCCCCTTTCCAGCCTCTCACTGGAAGGAAGCCCAAGGATGTTCCTGTGGGGGCTTTTACCAGGCCCACCTGCCCTCTGCTGGCCATGCTTGCAGCCTCCTGACCCTGTCCCAGCAGGACAGTGGGCTGGTGTGAGCGGGCAGGAACCGCCTGCACTTAGAAGGTGTGGGGCTGCCTCCCCGAGCTTCCATCTGCCGCTGGGGCCACACCCCAGGCCCAGGGATGGGACCCCACAGTGGTCACATCATCTTGCAGCAGAACCCAGGTACAGCTCCTGGAGCAGATGGTGGTCCCAAGCACGGGTGGGACCAGAAAGGACTCTCACCTGGGCTAACTCAGCTGCAGCCTCAGTTCCCTCCTCACACACGACGAGGAACATGGACTGGAAGCCTGCCCAGCAGGCCTTCTGCTCGATGTGCGTTGTGTGGCTTACGTCCAGGGAGGGAAGCAGCCTCTGTGCTGTCTTCTAGATAAGCCTGTATTCCCCGGGCTGTCTGCCAATGTATCCAGTTGTCCCGTCAGCCTGGAAGCTCTGAGGGAAAACCTTGGGCTGCTTCCTGAGCACCTGTATCCCCTGCAGCCAGCCCGGGGCCTCTGCTAGGAGCAGACTGAGCATGGCTTATGGGCCTGGCACCATCTGGCCTCTGCCCACCTTGCTGGCCTTGTCTTGTGTCTGCCCCTTCGACATTCCATAGCCCAGCTCAATATCTAGTGGTTCCTCTAGGGTGGCGAGCACTGTTTGGTCTCCAGATGTCTTCAGGTCGGAGCTCACAGCGCTCTCAGCCACCCCTTCCCAGTGTAGCACCGGGCACATGGTAGATGCCTATTGATGAGTGAAAGCTCCTAACACACTCAGAGAGCAAGGACTCCGCCTCATCCCACAGCCTGGGAGGAGAGGCAGACTGCCAAGGACCTGCTCAGCATGCTACAGAAGAAACCAAAGTGCCCACGGGACTGATCAGTGGAGCTTCCTGCCGAGACTGGAGGCCTTAGGGCAGGGTAGACAGTGTGTGTGCAGGCTGGGGACTCACAGTTCGGACTGTGCCCAGACCTACTAGCATAGTGGGTGGGTGGGAGGATGCGGGACTGGGGGCCGACCTTGCCTGAAATTCATGTGGGATCTCAGAGCAGCCACTGAATTGCTCTGTAGGGGGCTAAATAGTGGCCCCCACAGATACACACACCCAGACAGAGCCTGTGAGCCAGACCTTATTTGGAGAAAAGGTCTTTGTAGATGTAATTAAGCATCTCAAGATGGCATCATCTGGATTATGCGGTGGGCTGTAAGTCCTGTGATGTGTCTTTATGAGAGAAAGGCAGAGGGAGATTTGACACACACAGGAGGGGCCACGTGGAGACAGAGGTGGAGATTGGAGAAATGTGGCCACAAGCCAGGGAACACCAGCAGCCACCAGAAGCCGGAAGACGTGAGGCAGGGTTCTTCCCAGAGCCTTCGCTGCTGAGTCTGGGAATTTGTGACCGAAGCCATAAGAAGTGGGTACACGCCCTGAGCCTCCCACACTTGCTCACCTGTCCTGAGATGAGAATCTCTACTCTGCAGCATATTTGGAGGATCACTGCGGGGGCCACAGAGGTGCTGTTCAGATGGCACTTCAGAAGACTCAGGAGACCCTGGGGCAGGAGCAGTTTGACTGACAGCCCAGAGGGCTGCCCTCTGATTCCACCTGAGGCCCTGCTTTTCCTGGCTGCAGGGGTTCCAGGGCCAGGCCATTTCCGCTGGCGCAGGACTCTGCTAGCAGCAACCTGCCTGAAGTCTTCCTTTGGCCTGGCTGAGAGTTTCTGAGACCTGCGCTGGAGCGGAGGTGCTTCCTTCCTTGCTTCCTTTCTTCCTCTCTCCCTTCTCCATCCAGCAGGCTGGACCTGCCTGGCATCTGTGAGCTCTCCCTACTTTCTCCTATACCCTAACCTTTGTCCTGCATGGGCGACTCCCCCAGTGAGTCTCTTGCAGCTTTTACCCCAGTGCCTGCTTCTTGGAGAATCCAAACTGATCCAGTTAGGGATGATAAAGTGTAGGGTAGGCGCTCGGTGACTGTTTTCTCTGAGGTTGTGACTCGTGTGAGGCAGAAGCAGTCCCCGTGAGCCCTCCTGGTATCTTGTGGAGTGGAGAACGCTTGGACCTGGAGCCAGGAGGCCCAGACATACATCCTGTCCGAGCTGCAGCTTCCTGTCTCTAAAATGAGCCGGCCAGCGCAGGTGGCCAGACATCACTGTTATTCTCCTTTGAGTCTTTAAATCTTGTTGTCTTTCTTGCAGACTCGGTGAGCTGTGAAAGGCTATAATAGGGGCTTTATTTTACACTTTGATACTATTTTTTGAACATTCATATTATTGTTAGATATTGATATTCATATGAAGGAGCAGGATGACTTGGGTCCTTCTTGGCAGTAGCATTGCCAGCTGATGGCCTTGGACAGTTACCTGCCCTCTCTAGGCCTCCCTTTCCTTGTCTATGAAATACATTATAGAATAGGATGTAGTGTGTGAGGATTTTTTGGAGGTTAAACGAGTGAATATATTTAAGGCGCTTTCACCAGTGCCTGGGATGTGCTCTGTAGTTTCTGTGTGTTAACTATAAGGTTGACTTTATGCTCATTCCCTCCTCTCCCACAAATGTCGCCTTGGAAAGACGGAGGCAGCCTGGTGGAGGTGTATCTCCTAGACACCAGCATACAGAGTGACCACCGGGAAATCGAGGGCAGGGTCATGGTCACCGACTTCGAGAATGTGCCCGAGGAGGACGGGACCCGCTTCCACAGACAGGTAAGCACGGCCGTCTGATGGGAGGGCTGCCTCTGCCCATATCCCCATCCTGGAGGTGGGTGGGGACTGCCACCCCAGAGCGTTGCAGCTGTACTCCTGGGTTGCACCCCCCCCAGCTGTCACTGTCCCCTCCCTGCCATCAGTTGTGGGAAGGGCGTTCATCCATCCAGCCACCTGCTGATTTGTTATAGGGTGGAGGGGGGGTCTTTCTCATGTGGTCCTTGTGTTCGTCGAGCAGGCCAGCAAGTGTGACAGTCATGGCACCCACCTGGCAGGGGTGGTCAGCGGCCGGGATGCCGGCGTGGCCAAGGGTGCCAGCATGCGCAGCCTGCGCGTGCTCAACTGCCAAGGGAAGGGCACGGTTAGCGGCACCCTCATAGGTAAGTGATGGCCCCAGACGCTGGTCTCTCTCCATCTGGACCTGGCCTGGGAGGTGGCTTGGGCTGGGCCCAGGGAGAGCTAATGTCTCCTAACCAAGAATGCTGTGGCAGCCTCTGCCGCAGAGCCAGAGAACCAGAGTGCCAAGGCTGGCAGGGTTCCCAGTGGCCACGAGTGCAGATGAAGAAACCCAGGCCCCAAGAGGGTCATGCAGGTAGCCCAGGGAGTTCAGCCTTGACCCTGGGTCAATGACCTTTCCACAGTTCCACACTGCTCCCCTTTTAAAATCCGGTGATGTCTTTATGTCTTTTGTTATGTTATCTTCAATGTGGAGGGACTCGAGGTGATCTAAGCAAACTTTTTCTATCTTCTGCTTGCATACCTCTGAGACCAGGGGACTCACTCACTTGCATGACTGGGCCCTGCAGGTCACACTGGCCAGGCAGATGTGGTGGAGGAACTGGCAGAGGACTTTTTCTAGACTGTGACTACATTTAGTCCACCCAGCGGCCCCCCTATGAAGTCCAGTTGAGAACTAGGACTCTGGGGGCCGGTGGACAGAGAAGAGGGAGGGTTCTCTCCCTTACTGACTTCCTTCTGTGGCCAGACATTGAGCAAGGCCTCTGTACAGCATGTCCTGGGGCTGGCCTTGCCGTAGCTGCTAAATAGTTGACGAAACCAGTCCAGAGAGGGGAGGTGACTGCCAGGGTCGCACAGCTCAAGCTGGGGAACTCGCTGGGAAAACTGTCAGCTCTGGGCAGCAGCTTGACTTCCACTGTAAGCCCCAGCCCCCAGGGTCAAACACTGGCTCTGGTGCTGGCAGAGGCAGCCCACTAGCCTGTTTCAAAGGCTGAGAAGGCCCAGGAGTCTGCCCTGTGCTCCACCAGTTCTGCCCTGAGACTTTCCTACAGAGTACAGGTTTTGATGTTCAGTTTTAAAGGCAAGAATCAATAACCTTCTGCCCCATCAGGTGACCCCTTGTGCCTGTCCCACCCCTTTATTGACTGACCTCGGCTCAGTCAGGTCAGTTCCTGAAGGTCAGTGTGTGGAGGGGAGGCTGTTCTTTCCCAGAAAGGCCTTCCCCAGGCCTGGTGCTCTGGCCTCTGGAGGACTTCCTGGAGAAGTCCCTTCTTTGGGGTCCCAGTCAGTGTATGGGAAGCCCTTATTGCATGACCTGGCACGGGGCAGGGGCTCAACAGTCACTATTGCCTTCCTTGCCACTGCCATTTCCTCCTCTGTAAGCAGGTGATTGTGTGTCCAGTCTGAGCACAGAGATAAGCACACAGCAGGTGCTTAATAACTAGCAGCTGTAGGCTGGGCGCGGTGGCTCATGCCTGTAATCCCAGCACTTTGGGAGGCCGAGGTGGGCAGATCACCTGAGGTCAGGAGTTCGAGACCAGCCTGTTCAACATGGTGAAACCCCGTCTCTACTAAAAATACAAAAATTAGCCAGGCATGGTGGTGGGTGTCTGTATCCCAGCTACTTGGGAGGCTAAGGCAGGAGAATCGCTTGAACCCAGGAGGTGGAGGTTGCAGTGAGCTGAGATCGTGCCACTGCAATCCAGCCTGAGTGATAGAGCGAGATTCCATCTCAAAAATAAATAAGTAAATAACTAGCAGCTGTAAATGTGGCTGTTGTTCTTCACCTCCACACTCAGTGCCACTCCACTCCCTCCCTCCGTGGTGTGAGGGGCCTCACTAGCTGTCTCCTAGGAGGAGCATGGCTGTGAGATTCCAGCTCCATCCTTGGCCACGGCTCCTGGAGACATCTTAGAGGCCAGGATCCAGAAGGCTCCCACACCTCATTTGACAGGGGAGAAGCTGTCAGTTCCAGGTCCCCTTGCACATCAGGGCCAGAGCTGCGTTAGGCCTCCAGTCTCCAGGCCACTGGGCCAGAGCTCACAGGCTGGCAGAGGGTTAGAACTGTTACTGGTGGCTGGGTGCAGTGGCTCACGCCTGTAATCTTAGCACTTTGGGAGGGCAAGGCGGGAGGATCATGAGGTCAGGACATCGAGACCATCCTTGCTAACACGGTGAAGCCCCGTCTCTACTAAAACTACAAAAAATTAGCCGGGCGTGGTGGCAGGCGCCTGTAGTCCCAGCTACTCAGGAGGCTGAGGCAGGAGAATGGCGTGAACCCGGGAGGCGGAGCTTGCAGTGAGCCGAGATTGCGC
This sequence comes from Homo sapiens, assembly GCF_000001405.40. Lineage (NCBI taxonomy): Eukaryota > Metazoa > Chordata > Mammalia > Primates > Hominidae > Homo > Homo sapiens. The sequence goes on from NC_000001.11 coordinate 55,054,964, forward strand.
CACTGCACTCCAGCCTGGGCAATAGAGCGAGACTCCGTCTGGAAAGAAAAAAAAAAAAAAGAGCTGTTACTGTTGACAGTAGCATGAGGTAGACCATGGCCTGCACCAAAATGGGGGAGTGGAGTGCCACTGAGGCCAGAAGGAACCACACCCTCAAGGGTGGGGAGTTATGGTATGGGGGGTCCTAGGCATGGAGTCTTTTAATTCTTTAGACAATCCTGGGAGCAACTGTCCCTGTTTCACAGAGGGCGGGGCCACACAGCTGGTGAGTGGGCAGCCAAGACTCTGTTCAAGTTTGTGTGGGTCCAACACTTGCGGCCACGGTGGAGGGGCATCTGAGCCAGGCCTCAGAGAGTGGCGGGGGAAGTTGGGTGGGGAAGTGTGCCCTTCTCATTCCTCTGAGGCTCATCCTCTTGGTGCCTCTCTTTCATGGAAAGGGATAATAAGGTTATTGTGAGGATCCCCTGAGTTCGTATATTCAGACGCTTAGACAGAGCCAGGCACAGAGAAGGGCCCGGGGTTGGCTAGTTTGATTGCTGGTGTAATTGCTAATATCTTCCAGTTTGTATTGGTCAAGGTTCTGCAGAGAAGCAGAACCAGTAGGATGTATATATTAAGAGTTTCAAGCTCATGTGACCGTGCGGGCTGGCAAGTCTGAAATCCGCAGGGCAGGCCAGGCAGGCTGGCAATTCCTGCAGAATTTGATGTTGCAATACTGAGTCCTAAGGCAGTCCTGGGGCAGAATTCCTTCTTCCCTGGGAGGCCTCAGTCTGTTCTCTTAAGGCCTTCAACTGATTAAATGAGGCCTGCCCAAGTTATAGAGAGTAACCTGCCTTACTCCGTCTTCTGATTTAAATGTTAGTCACATCTAAAAAATATTTTCGCAGCAGCATTTCCACTGGCTTTTGACCAAACATCAGGCCACAAAGTTGATCCCCAAAATTAACCATCACTCTGTGCCTGTAAGGGAGGGGCTGGGAAAGGGGAGCAGGTCTCCCCAAGGGGTGACCTTGGCTTTGTTCCTCCCAGGCCTGGAGTTTATTCGGAAAAGCCAGCTGGTCCAGCCTGTGGGGCCACTGGTGGTGCTGCTGCCCCTGGCGGGTGGGTACAGCCGCGTCCTCAACGCCGCCTGCCAGCGCCTGGCGAGGGCTGGGGTCGTGCTGGTCACCGCTGCCGGCAACTTCCGGGACGATGCCTGCCTCTACTCCCCAGCCTCAGCTCCCGAGGTAGGTGCTGGGGCTGCTGCCCCAAGGCGCGGGTAGGGGGCGGAGGGCGGAGGGCGGAGGGAGGGCGGGCGGGCAGGCGGGCTTCTTGTGGCACGTGGGCTTCTTGTGGCACGTTCCTGGAGGCCGAACCCTTCTGGCTTTGGAAGGAGTCGTCAGAGACCCCCGCCATGCGGGAGGCTGGGGAGGAAGGGGCTCGAAACCTCCATCATCGCAGAGTCTGAATAGCAGTGGCCCCGCCATGCGCCCACGTAGCGGCGCCTACGTAGCCACGCCCCCACACCCCGTCCTGGCCACTCTCCCTCCTGAAGGTCTTCTGGTACCCGCCCCCTCCCCATCTCCATCCCCAGGCCCTGCGTCCTCTGCCCAATACTCTTTGGGCCTCCCTGTTGTCCAGCTCTCTCCGCGGCTCCATGACTGACAACTTGAGCAAGGCTAATGTGAATGGGAGCGGTTGAGGGCTCAGACCTCTCACCCGAGGAACATCCACAGAGTGTGCCGCATGCCCGGTGCAGTGTGGCTGCGGGGACACAGACACGGAGCCTCGGCCCTGAGGAGCTGGGGGGCAGTGACCGTCCCTCCTCTGACCCACCACTCCTCCAGTGTCAGGACACTGCGGGTATCTAGGGGAAGGAATCTTGTTCCACTTCAAGTCTGGAACTTCAAGTCTGTGTGTGTGCGTGCGCGCGCGCGCGTTGGGGGTGGGGGTTGCAGAGCAGATGCGTACCTGACAGCGGTAACCTAGGTCCCCCCTGGCCTATCAAGGCTTCCCTGGCGGCCGAATTTAAAGGCATCAAGCAAACAAAGCCCAACACATCTCTGCCTTGTCCTCTCAGTTTCCCCCCGTGGCACTTAGAACCACTTGATACACCGAATAGTTTCCTATCTCCCCCACTAGGATGTAAACTCCACAGGGGCATTGGGAATGCTGCCTGGCTATGGTAGGGACAGAGGGGAGCACCAGGGCGGGGCAGGGGTGCCAGAGTTCTGCCTGGGCAGTCAGATTTTCCTTAGGAGGGGACATTTGAGTGGGACCCAAACAGGTGTATAGCAGTTGTCCAGCCCAGCTGGCAAGGCCTGAGTCTGCCTCTGCAACCCCTCTCTTGGGCTCCTTTCTCTGCCACCCACCTCCTCACCTTTCCAGGTCATCACAGTTGGGGCCACCAATGCCCAAGACCAGCCGGTGACCCTGGGGACTTTGGGGACCAACTTTGGCCGCTGTGTGGACCTCTTTGCCCCAGGGGAGGACATCATTGGTGCCTCCAGCGACTGCAGCACCTGCTTTGTGTCACAGAGTGGGACATCACAGGCTGCTGCCCACGTGGCTGGTAAGTCACCACCCCACTGCCTCGGCCACCGTGATGCTAACAGCCCCTTTGGCAGTCAGGGTCTGTGCCGGGACCTCCAGTGCCAGGCTCTGTGCAGGGGGACCAGAGATGAAGTAGGCCTGATGGTGCCTTCAAGGACACTCAGTCTGATGAGGGAGGCGAGTGCACAGAGGAAACACGAGGTCAGGGCTGTATTAGAGGGAGCCCAGAGGAGGCACCTGCCCAGCCCGAGGGTCAGAGAAGGCATCTTGGAGGAGGGACATTTGATCGGGAGCTTGATGGATGAATAGGAGTTCACCTGGCCGATAAGACAGCAACTACCAAGGCTTAGAGGTGTGAGAGGAGGCTGTCTTACCTCACTGAGTAAGGACTGCAGGCGGCTTACCTTCGAGAAGAGAGCTTAGTGTCTGTGTGCACGTGTGTTTGTGTGTATGTGTGTGCGTGTGTGCACTGGCAGGAGTCCCCTGCTGGGGCAGGAGGGCCGGGCCATCACCATCTTTCACCATTCACCCCTGCACCAGGCATTGCAGCCATGATGCTGTCTGCCGAGCCGGAGCTCACCCTGGCCGAGTTGAGGCAGAGACTGATCCACTTCTCTGCCAAAGATGTCATCAATGAGGCCTGGTTCCCTGAGGACCAGCGGGTACTGACCCCCAACCTGGTGGCCGCCCTGCCCCCCAGCACCCATGGGGCAGGTAAGCAGGATGGCAGGGTGGGCAAGTCCAGGCTGGGGCTTGGGAGGTCTGTGTGACCTTGACAGTCTCTCCCTTCTCCCTTGTCTGTGTAAGGAGGATGACGCCACCTTAAATAGGATTAAATGAGAATGGGGCTCTGAAAGGGCTGTGCAATATTTTCATAACGTGTTTTTATAGAGACAGTTGAGTATGTTCTTTAAGCCCTCCTCTCTCCTACCATGAACTAAAGATTTCTGTGGAGGTCCCCTCACTCCCAGCACCCCCTCCTCATCCCAGGCCCTTTTTGCAGGTTGGCAGCTGTTTTGCAGGACTGTATGGTCAGCACACTCGGGGCCTACACGGATGGCCACAGCCGTCGCCCGCTGCGCCCCAGATGAGGAGCTGCTGAGCTGCTCCAGTTTCTCCAGGAGTGGGAAGCGGCGGGGCGAGCGCATGGAGGTGACTGTACCCCTCCTTCGTGTGTGTGTGTGTGTGTGTGTGTGTGTGTGTGTGTGTGTGTGTGTGTGTGTCAGTGCTGGGCCCTCAGGGACCCCCAGCAAGCCCCTCCATCCTCCAGACTCCAGCTCTTCTGTAAGCTTACAGGGCTGGCCAGACCAGGAGTGGGGCACTCCTCACTTCACGCGGCTGGGGGCTGCTGGAGAGAGCCACAGCGGGAAGGGTTTCCTAGAGGCTGCAGGACAGTGCTGGATGGATTTTCAATGCTCACCTGGGTGTGAGCGTGCGGCAGGGCCGCGTGAGGGTCAGCGATCTGCTACTCTGGACTCAGCCATCTCTAGGCCCCTCTCACTCAGGTGCTCCATGGTTCTGGGAGCTGAGAAATCTCAAACCAGCAAAAAAGTGGAATTGATGTTGATGCTACAGGATAGTGCACAGATGCCATCTGGTTGCAGCATTTTGGTGGAAGGGCAGTGCCCAGCTAGGAGAGTGAGGAGGGGCAGGCATTTCTGGCTTGAGGAGATGGGGTCTTAATGCTCGTGTGAGAGGCAGAGTGGGTGGAGTGGAGCTGGCTGGATCCTTGCTTTGGCCTCCTGGATTTCTCTCTATCTCCATTTTGAAACCACTCTGTGTTTGGAAGAACTTTTGAGTATTCAGAGCTGCCCACTGGCAGAACAGTCTTCCTTGGGCAGGAGTGAGCTCCTTGTCCCCAGAAGGCTGGGTCTGGCTGGCCCCTGGCAGGGACACTGATGAGGGTGCTTGAGTTGATCCTGTCTAGTCCCTTTCTGTGTTTTCAAAGCCCATTCTAAAGCAGATTCCCATTTCCGTCTTTGACTCTAAGGCCCAAGGGGGCAAGCTGGTCTGCCGGGCCCACAACGCTTTTGGGGGTGAGGGTGTCTACGCCATTGCCAGGTGCTGCCTGCTACCCCAGGCCAACTGCAGCGTCCACACAGCTCCACCAGCTGAGGCCAGCATGGGGACCCGTGTCCACTGCCACCAACAGGGCCACGTCCTCACAGGTAGGAGGCTGGGCTTGCCCTGGGGTGAGGAGGGGTCTCTTTCTCCTTATGCACCCACTGCCCGCGAGGCTTGGTCCTCACAAGTGTGATCCATGAGACTCAAGCCTGACTTGCAGTTCCATACTCTGGTTCTGCCACTTCCATGCCCTTTGAGCCTGGGCAGGTGACCTTACTTCTCCTCATCTCAGCTTCCTCCTCCATAAGAGGGAAAAAGGTATTACCTGCCTCATTGTGTTGCAAGGAGATGGGCAGCATCTAGGGCACTGGCCTGGAGTATCGCAGGTGCTTTGCCTAAGGTGGTGCAGTCCAGGAGAGGCAGCTCCAGAGAGAGGCCCCCGGCTGGGGCTGAAAGGAGGGCAGACCTCGGTTTGAATTTCACCCTGCCGCTCTATAGCTGTGTGACTTGGGCAAATTACTTAACATCTCTGTATGAGGAAATGATGAGTGCTAAGCACTTAGCTTAGTGCCGGGACAATATAAATTCTAGCTATCGTTACTATTGTTTTCATCACCCGTTGCTTTAAAATCCAGCCTCTGGTATAGGCAACTATTGACGGGCTACCCTGTGTCGAAAACATGCCCAGGCAGGTAGCAGGAAGTCACAGATGGGGACCTCTTGGGGCATCAAGGGATGGTGCCCTGAGGCTGAGCTGTTCTGGTTGGGTGGAGCATGAGAGGTCTGGGAAGACAGTGGGACTCCAGCCTGGAATAAGAGGCTCAGAGTTGATTCTCGTCTGAGCACGTCCAGGGGAACCACTGAGGGTTTGGGAACAGGAGAGTGAGGGTGAGAACCTGGTTCTGGGCACAGCAGGCTGGCATGTAGGATGGATGTTCAGGAAAGATGAGCATAGTCAGGTGGCTGGTGCCCTTGTCCAGGGGAGAGGCTCCGTCAGGTTCAGGGGTCCTGGCTTGGAGGGAAGTCCGCCATGCTCTAATCACGCTCCCCTTTGGAAGTGCTCAGCCGATGAGCTCACAGGCACATGTCAGTTTGAAGTCATGGAATCTGACTCCATGAAGCGCACCTCAAAGAGCACCATTTTGCAGCTAAGGGAACTGCAGGCTGGACATGCTGAGTGGCTGCCCCGAGCCCTTGCAGCTAGGACATAGAGAATGCTAGTAACCACAACCCTACCATGTTCAGAGCACATGCCAGGCTCCATGCTGGGGCTTCGCACGTGTCATCTTCACAGTGTCCCTGTGAGTAGGTGTGGTTTCTCTTTCCATCTTACAAATGAGTAAACAGAGCCTCAGTGTAGCTAAGTAACCACTATTTTAGGTTTCTTAGCCAATGGGTGTGTCTGACTCCTAAGCCCATGGAGGGCATTCTGAGGTGGTTCAGACAGACCCCGGCTTACCCTTGAACTTCTGCCTGCTGGCTGCATAGGGAGGGGCTGGGGGGAGTTTGAGCATCTCAGGCCATAGAGCCCCTGCCTCACTGTCTCCATCTCTGGGTGGAAAGATGGTGTTTTCCCTGAGAAACTAAGGCTCAGAGAGGTTGAATGGCTCTCCCAAGGTCACACAGCTGGTCAGCTGCAGAGTTGAGAACACAGGAGTCCTGGTGCTCAGGCCAGCATCTCTTTTTTTCTTTGAGTTGTTTCTAGGTTTCCTAGCTCTTGCCTCAGACCTTAAAGAGAGAGGGTCTGATGGGGATGGGCACTGGAGACGGAGCATCCCAGCATTTCACATCTGAGCTGGCTTTCCTCTGCCCCAGGCTGCAGCTCCCACTGGGAGGTGGAGGACCTTGGCACCCACAAGCCGCCTGTGCTGAGGCCACGAGGTCAGCCCAACCAGTGCGTGGGCCACAGGGAGGCCAGCATCCACGCTTCCTGCTGCCATGCCCCAGGTCTGGAATGCAAAGTCAAGGAGCATGGAATCCCGGCCCCTCAGGAGCAGGTGAAGAGGCCCGTGAGGCCGGGTGGGTGGGGTGCTGCGTGTCTCTCCTGCACAGCTTTTCTGTGTCAGTTTGTGCCACCACCATACCGCCATGCATCAGGGTGGCGGTTTGCCAGGTAGATGCTGTGGGCAGCTTCCGCCATTGTGTGGACAGCATGTATATGTGTCTCTGTGTGGCTGGGTCTGTTTTTGCTTTTGTCCAGATCAGTAAGGTTTGCTACCTGGGTACCCCACTCCACTTGGAGTAGAATGTGCATAAATATGGCATAAAGAAATGCAATATGCATGCATTTATTGATTGATCTATTTTTTTCTGAGATGGGGTCTTGCTGTGTTGCCCAGGCTGGTCTCAAATTCCTGGGCTCAAGCAATCCTCTGGTCTCAGCCTCCCCAAGTGTTGGGATTATAGGCATGAGCCGCTGCACCTGGCCTCTCTGATCTATTTAACAAACCTGCTGGGAGGGTCTCAGGGTCAGGAGCAGCACTGGGCTCTGAGGACACAGAGCTCACTCAGCCGTGACCCAGAGGGGGTGCCTGAGCTGCATGCTGAAGGTTGTTAGCATGACCAGCAAGGCAAGAAAAGGCCCTGCCGAGATTAGCAAGGCATGTGCCAAGCCCTGGAATGTGACAGCCGGGCCTTCTAGAAACCTGAGTGTATAACTCTCCTTAAAAGCCAGTAGGAGCTCCTCAAAAGGCAGCCCTAAGGAGTCCACTCTTAAATGAACTCAGAGTCAGTTTTAAAATGCAAGTCTGTGTTGATTCTGGTCTGGATGGTGCATTCCTCGAGAGCAAAAGACAGTCTTGGTCTTGGATCCACTTGCCCTGGGTACACTGAGGGCTGCTAGGTTCCAGGTGCTCTTCCTGGCACTGGGGAGGGATACAGGCCCAAGAGACATGCTGTTCTCCCTCCTGGAGCATCTATTTTAGTGGAGGAAGACAGAAAACAAACCATTAATATAGAGTACTGAAAAGATGCGATGGAGAAAACTATAGCAAGGAAGGGAATGGGGTGGGAGAGAGGTCAGGAGAGGTCTCGCTGACAAGGTGGACGAAACAGGCCATGAGGCAGAGAACATGTTCCAGGCAAAGCAAAGGCCCCCAGGTGGGGATGTGCAGGGAGTACCAGGAAACCAGAGAGGTGGGAATAGTTATGAGATGGGGGGTGCCTCAGAGGGGACAGGGCCAAGTCAGGTGAGACCTGAGGGTCACAGTCAGCAGTGAGCTGGGGCCATGCAGGGGTCTGGCCTCAGAGGAGTGTGGTCTGGCCTGGATCTGAACCTCTCACTGTGGCCTAGCTGCTGAGCTGAGAAGAGATGACAAGGACCTTGGGCAGAAGCAGGGAGACTGGAGGGAGGCGGTGGAGGGTCCAGGCGTTGGGGCGGGGCTCAGGCTGGAGTCTGAAGGGAGCCTGCAGGCCTGGTGGGTGGATGTGGGTGGGAGAGGGGGAGGATGGCACCAAGGCTCGGGCCCCTGGACAGATGGAGTTGCCATTAAGTGGGATGGGGCAGGCTATGGGGCCATCAGTTTCAGAGGGATGAGTTTGGCACTGGCATGGTAGGCATCTGTCTATCTCCACGGCCCTCAAACCAGGCATGAAGCAGGAGCTCACGTGTTTGGTCAGCCATGGTGCAGAACCGCCTGGGTGGGAGGTGCGGGGTGGGAGATACACGGTTGTGTCCCAAATGGGCTCTGAGCCAGCGAGGGCCGTCTGCACTTTGGCCTCACAGAAGGATGTCGGAGGGAGAAATGAAGTGTGGGTGGGGGTCCCGGGCCACGCTAGACATGTGCTTTCTTTTCCTCGGGCTCTGGCAGGTGACCGTGGCCTGCGAGGAGGGCTGGACCCTGACTGGCTGCAGTGCCCTCCCTGGGACCTCCCACGTCCTGGGGGCCTACGCCGTAGACAACACGTGTGTAGTCAGGAGCCGGGACGTCAGCACTACAGGCAGCACCAGCGAAGGGGCCGTGACAGCCGTTGCCATCTGCTGCCGGAGCCGGCACCTGGCGCAGGCCTCCCAGGAGCTCCAGTGACAGCCCCATCCCAGGATGGGTGTCTGGGGAGGGTCAAGGGCTGGGGCTGAGCTTTAAAATGGTTCCGACTTGTCCCTCTCTCAGCCCTCCATGGCCTGGCACGAGGGGATGGGGATGCTTCCGCCTTTCCGGGGCTGCTGGCCTGGCCCTTGAGTGGGGCAGCCTCCTTGCCTGGAACTCACTCACTCTGGGTGCCTCCTCCCCAGGTGGAGGTGCCAGGAAGCTCCCTCCCTCACTGTGGGGCATTTCACCATTCAAACAGGTCGAGCTGTGCTCGGGTGCTGCCAGCTGCTCCCAATGTGCCGATGTCCGTGGGCAGAATGACTTTTATTGAGCTCTTGTTCCGTGCCAGGCATTCAATCCTCAGGTCTCCACCAAGGAGGCAGGATTCTTCCCATGGATAGGGGAGGGGGCGGTAGGGGCTGCAGGGACAAACATCGTTGGGGGGTGAGTGTGAAAGGTGCTGATGGCCCTCATCTCCAGCTAACTGTGGAGAAGCCCCTGGGGGCTCCCTGATTAATGGAGGCTTAGCTTTCTGGATGGCATCTAGCCAGAGGCTGGAGACAGGTGCGCCCCTGGTGGTCACAGGCTGTGCCTTGGTTTCCTGAGCCACCTTTACTCTGCTCTATGCCAGGCTGTGCTAGCAACACCCAAAGGTGGCCTGCGGGGAGCCATCACCTAGGACTGACTCGGCAGTGTGCAGTGGTGCATGCACTGTCTCAGCCAACCCGCTCCACTACCCGGCAGGGTACACATTCGCACCCCTACTTCACAGAGGAAGAAACCTGGAACCAGAGGGGGCGTGCCTGCCAAGCTCACACAGCAGGAACTGAGCCAGAAACGCAGATTGGGCTGGCTCTGAAGCCAAGCCTCTTCTTACTTCACCCGGCTGGGCTCCTCATTTTTACGGGTAACAGTGAGGCTGGGAAGGGGAACACAGACCAGGAAGCTCGGTGAGTGATGGCAGAACGATGCCTGCAGGCATGGAACTTTTTCCGTTATCACCCAGGCCTGATTCACTGGCCTGGCGGAGATGCTTCTAAGGCATGGTCGGGGGAGAGGGCCAACAACTGTCCCTCCTTGAGCACCAGCCCCACCCAAGCAAGCAGACATTTATCTTTTGGGTCTGTCCTCTCTGTTGCCTTTTTACAGCCAACTTTTCTAGACCTGTTTTGCTTTTGTAACTTGAAGATATTTATTCTGGGTTTTGTAGCATTTTTATTAATATGGTGACTTTTTAAAATAAAAACAAACAAACGTTGTCCTAACTCTTGCATAGACTTGACTGCCTAGGGTGATGCCTTGCTTATACTAGGAACTGGGTAAGTTTGTTGAATAGTTGAGTAAGCCAAGTATTTGATGAGTACTTTTATCTTGAGTACAAGTATTGGGCAAGTACTGGTGATGTGAACTTACTCCTTGTGCCTATCCTAGGAATGAAATGAATGTCTTCCTGCAGCTCCCCTGACCACCCTGACAGTCAAAGTGCCTCCTCCTTGGTGACAGGTGCCCTACAGCACTCTAGATGCTCTGTTGTCCTGACCTCCCAATGCCCTTTTCATTCTTTTCTCCCCAGTACCTGGCACACAGCCTGGCCCGAGTATTTACGGAATAAGTTACAGTGCCAGATGCTTCTGTAATGAGCCAGTGCTAAGTCCATGGCTTTTTTCATGATTTAAAATTCAGAACAGTCTCAGATTGGGTGCAATGGCTCACACCTGTAATCTCAGTACTTTGGGAGGCTGAGGCAGGAGGATTGCTTGTGTTTAGGAATTCAAGACCCTGGGCAACAGTGAGACCCCGTCTCTATAAAAAAATTTAAAAGATTAGCGAGGTGTGGTAGCACATGCCTGTGGTCCCGGCTACTCAGGAGGCTGATATGGGAGGCTTGCTTGAGCTGGGAGGCTGAGGGTGCAGTGAGCTGTAATTACATCATCACTGCACTGCAGCCTGGGTTACAGAGTGCATAATGATCCCATTCAATGTGGGACCTCCAGGCCCTCCACTCTAAGGCTGGTGAATATAGCTGTCTTAAGCAAGTTCTCTCTCTCTCTAGACAGCCCATGTCATAAGGAATCTCAGGCAAAATTCCTCCCAGATTACATTTTCTGACAATTCAGTGTCATATATGGAAAGCATTCAAGAGTTGACAGATGGCAATGGCTTGAACACCCAACTGTGTTATCTCTGCCCGTTGGAACCTAGGCCTGTGGTGCAACCCTAGACTCTCTCTCCTTCCCCTCCACAGAATCAAGTATCAGCTGGTTAGAGATCCACACCCTGACAGCTCTGTGATGTTGGAACAACTTGGTTCTTGCAGAGGGTTAGCAGGTGGTCACCAGGGATCGGGGAGGAAGGGGTGTGGCTTGCAGGAAGGCGAAAATCTGGACTAGCAAATAGGGAAGGGGACCCATGTGAGCAACGCTGGCCACTAGGAATGAGACTGAGACCTGTGGGATCTAGCAAGAAGCCCAGTGTGACCAGCGACACGATCTATGCTGGGGACCACTTGGGAGAGCCAAAAGCTTTGGTGGAGATGAATGGAGACCATCAACCTAAGTTCAGCATCCTCCTCTAAGCTTTGCAGATGAATCCTGAAATGGTCAGCCCCTCCAGAGAAAAGAACAGCAACAGGCTCAGAGGACCCACAGTCCCCTTTATTAGTGTAAAGTACTAAGAGGAATCAACAGCATTTAGCACCAGGCACAGGCTCGTGTTCCCCCGCCCACTACGGCTGTGTTCTGATATATGAAGAATGGCGGCAAGACTCCAACTCTGTTTTTGAAAAATTTATTTTATACTCTTAGAAGCTAAGAACTTTGCCACACATGAACCAAATTTAGAATTAAGGTTCTTCCCTAGTGTATCTACTTCCTTTTGAAATTTTATAAACAAGATTTTATACACAAGAGGTAGCAGAGGAAAATTCCAGTCTGCTTGTTCCAAGCTCAGAAGGTAACTGCACACACCTCGATGTTAGCAGGGAAGGTGGGGCAGGACAGGGTAAGTCTGATGATACGGCACTCTAGTTCCTAAAACTGACTGTAGTTGTCAGTGACCGTGTGAGGACTCCAGGAGAAGTCGTGGTGAGATGCCCGCTGGGATGCTTGTTTTCTTTCCCAGGATGCCTTCAACGGGCAGAATCGGCCATCTTAAGATCGGCCTCACTAAGGGAGCTTCTTGAGAACACACAGCATTATTGAGTTAATTGTGCAATTCCTGCTCTGTTTGCAGACCATTTTGAAAGGTTTATAAAAACATCTTCATCCAAAAAATTGGCAGTAAAAATGACAACTCTTCCAAGGTAAGCCTGTCATAACTGTCACTGTTGTACTACATTAAAAAAAGTCATCAGCAGGTTCATTGACTGTAGCTGTCAGCAATCAAGTGGTTACCAGCAAAGTGAAAACGATGGTCATTGCAGCAACAATATAAGCAACATGATCTGAAGCGTATAATATACACGGTGGACGATCCTGATGAAGCTTTACAGTGAGGACGGCAGGTGCTAGGGGTGCGGAAGGCGTTGTTTCCATAGGAAATAAGGGGACTAGAAGTGGCAATTTCACTCCTGATTTTGGGCTCCTGAGAGTGCAGTCGCCAGCGATGATATCCCAGTGTGGATCATCGCCAGCATTTCAAGGTCATGTCCCACACAATCTCTTGGTGAGGATGTGGGCGGAGAGAAGGTGAGAATAGGGTAGGGGAAACAGTAGGACAGGAAGTATTCACGTACTCAAAACCAATGGTAGAACATCACATTTCAAACTGCAAGACCATTGGAACCGTCTGAAGTTTGCCACTCGCCTCTGTCCGTTTCTCTAAGGGTACAGTTCTGCTCTTAAGTGCTGGCCCTTCCATCTTCTCAGTGTGTTTGACAAAGGCCACTGCCAACCTCCAGCAAGTCACAGAATAACAATGAAGTCTGACAGCACAGAAACCCTCACTGCCAGAGAATGAAAAGACTGGGCCATGGCGAGAGCACAGTAATGAGATGCCATCTGCCTGGCCACATGCCCACACAATGCCACAGCAGCCAGACAGGCACTTCAGGGCTGGCTGCGCCTCTGTGACTTGGCAAATCTGACAGTGAAAACCTGGCACTTCCTAAGGCTCCCTAGTTCTGTGCATGGTGAGATGAAAATAAGGCAGGACCTGTAACTAAAGGCAAAACAGGGCCGAAAATGTGAGCAATTCAAAATACAAAATGTACAAAATATATATGAAATATGTGGGTGTAAACCTCTCCCCCACACCATAAAAGGGAGCTGGTATAAATGAGTGAATGGTGCTATACTTTGGAAATACGACTAAATGGATGGTTATTCAATTGCTTTATATTTATTTCTGGGAAAATAAATCTTAAACCTTGACTGACTTTTCAGTGTTAATTAGTCATGTTGAGGAGAAACAAATTCTCAAATTCCTTCTCTGCATTACAATAACTATGAAACTCACAAGCAGTGTGTACCAACTCAAATAGTTAACTTCATATACAACCAATACCAAGGGTTTCAGTAATTATGTTTTAAGCAAAAGCAAACGATTGCAGATCACATGATTTAAGACTACAGTTTATTCAATATGTCTCCAAGCATTAAAAAGATAATTCTGTGAAGTTAAACTCAGTAAAATTATATCTTAAAGTGCTTTTATTTTGCTGTTTTTAAAATCTGTTTGGGGAACAACTCATAACTTCTTTAAGTAATTGATGTCAAATAATGCACCCTGTACTTCTGGAGAACACAGCATTTTCAAAATTGCTCTTTTCAATCTAATTATATCAGAAAAATATCTTCAAGAGCTTAGTATTTCCCAATTTTTGATCCTGATCCTGGTAACCTTTCATCAAGATCCAAGCTTATGCATAGGGTTCTCATCTAGACCCATCTGAAATTCTATACAAATAGGGAGACATATTAAATACAAAGGTCTGTGTAAATTGACTTAATTACTATTTTACAATGAAAAGGAATTTTATTACATCTTTACATCATTTTAAATTGGATATTCCTGTTTAATATTACTGCAAGATTAAAAATTTGCCCCCACATATCTAAAAGCAGCTTGCTTTTTCTTAAAATATAAAAACCAAAGGAATTTCTTTTGTAGCATCGTAGAGAAAGCAACAGCTTTATGCTCACTCTTGTATGTTCGTGTAACAAAAAAGTCTGCCACTGGCTCTATTTCCGAAAATCTCCACAGAAATGTGAATCCACATATAGACCACGCTCCCGGGACAGCTGATCCACATGCCGGAGTTCTCCCACTGCCAAACAGCTCCCAAACCTTCTAGTGGCTTAAAAATGCTTTCCTTGAGAAATACACGATCCGCCCAAGTCACAGCAGCTTTCCCAGTCCAATCTCCAGGCTCTTCCAAAGGGTTCGAGATTCTGATTCCAAGAAGGTGCTGAGCATCCAGTATTGTGTCTTGACTCCTCTCAGGCTGGGCATGTTCCTCTAGGGATCAACATCATCAAGGTCACTTCTCAACTCACCAATCATCATGGGAGATTCTGAACCCTGCAGAAAAGAAAAGGAAGTTAAAGTTCATACGGTTAGAGAAAAGGTTTTCTATGCTGACTTGTGTTCTGCAATTTAAACATGTCTTCATCTGGCAACTTAATGCAATGTTTATCAAAGGGTAATAAAATGTGATAACTATTACATCTAATATTTGACAATTCATGATTATGTAAAACATGTACATTTCTATGATCTCATTTAGTCAGTGAAACAACCCAGCGACTTGTCTAAAGTCACAATGCTACTCTGCACCCATGTGAGAACGCAGAGCAGTGATAAAGCTGGGAGAGGCATTGATGGCCATTGTGCCCGCTTCACGTTGGGCACTGTGTGAGCCTCCCTGCCCTGCACCTGCCAAATATGGGCTCTGGGTCACTCCTGGGTCTGAAGGCTACCTCTGTTACCATCTGTGTGGCCTTTGGCTTACACACTTGGCGAATCGTTCTGAATACTCACCGTGTGCCATGGGGCTGATCTAGTTGGAGCTGGGGTGGGGAGGAGCAAGGACAGTCTCTCTAAAGTGACAACCTAAGCTGAGTGAGAGTTGGGGGTGAGTAGGGGGGCCCTGAGGTGGAAGGAAGAGAGTACATTTGATAAATAAAATTCAGAAAATGGGCCAGGCACAGTCGCTTATGCCTGTAATCCCAGCTACTTGGGAGGCTGAGGCAAGGAGAATCGCTGGAACCTGGGAGAAGGAGGTAGCAGTGAGGTGAGATTGCACCACTGCACTCCAGCCTGGGTGACAGAGCAACACTCCATCTCAAAAAAAAAAAAAAAAAAAAAAAAAAAATCAGAAAATGGGGGTGGGGAGGTGCGCAGGTGCTAGATCAAGCAGGACTGTGTTGAGGATTCTGGCTTTTCTCCTCATACAAAGCCTTTGAAAGGTTTTAGTGCATGAACCAGAGAGAAGCAGGGGTGGAGGTGAGGGGATCCTTACAGATGTAGGCAGAGAGGGGCTGATGACAGGTGGAGGAGAGGGACGAGCACCCTTTCAAAGGGAGCTGTCCGGGATGACATGGGGGTGCTGTGTGTGAGATAAGGAACACTGACGGAGGGCCAGCTTTGGTGGGCGCAGGGAGGAGGGGCTGGGCACATCGAGTCTGAGGTCTTTAAGGTATGCCAAGTGGAGAACGTCAAGAACAAGAGAGCTGGATGTTCATGTTCAGAAATCCAAGGTGGGTGCGGAGAGAATATGGAGTGAGGGCAGGAGGATACAGGTTAGAGACTCCACAAACCTTTACTGGTGGTCCAGAAGAGGCAGTACTAGGAAGGAGACAGAGAAGGAACAGCCAGAAGGGTTTGAGGAAAACTACGAGAGAGAAGTGTCAGGAAAGCCCTGGAATAGTGTTTCAAACGGGAAGAGCGCCAGGAGCGCTAGATGCTGCCGAGCAGTCGGCTAAGATGAGGCCTGAAAGCTGCAGGCCACCTGTCACCCCAACTGCTGAGTTGGAGAGAAGAGGGAGTTAGCAGGGAAGAGGCTGAAGAGCGAGTGAGAGATAAGAAAATGGGGAAAGTTAAGTTTAGAGAATTAGTCGAAGTTTGGCTGCAAAGAAGAGAAAAGAAGGCAGGGGCAACAGGGAGAAGAGAGGCTTTGACAGGGCAGAAGAGAGGCTTTGACAGGGCAGAAGAGAAACCAGTGTGCTGAGACGTCGCTGGGAAGGGTCTGGCAGGGTGGAGCGTTCTGGATATTGAAGAGTTACATACACATTAGAACGCAAAGCTCTGCCAAGGTGGGCGGGGATGAGCGCTAGGGGCTTTGGGTGGACAGAGGCAAACTTCCCACTGTCACAGGAGAGGAGACAAGAACAGTGCAGATGCTTGGGAATTAGTGGCCGCAGGAGCTCTCCTGTGACAGCTTTTATTTTCTCTGCAAATGAAGTAGGTGATGAGGTAATGTGTGGAGTGACCTTGGGCTAAGTCACATCACTGTGCTGGGCTGCAGTTACCTTTCTGTAAAATCAGGGTGACAGCTGCCTCACATAGTGCTTATGAGGATCCGAAAGATAACACTTAAAAAAAAATGACACCTACTACATCAGTAACATTCATTTAATGGGGCCTATTCTGTACCAAGTACTGTGAAGGGACCACAGAGGAGACTGCTGTTAAGGAAAGTTACAGACTATTGGAAAGACGTAATGATTAACTGACACTTAGTTCAGTGTTTGCACACAGTGGGTGTTCAATACATATTTATTTTCTTTTTCTACTATAATGATTGGTATTAAAGCTGTTTTTTTTTCTTTTTTTAAAAATACATGTCAAAATTTTCTTGGACTCCCCTGGCAAGCAGGTATACTTCAAGAGCACGGGAGCTTTTCTTTCAAGAGTCCACATTTCCAGGAAGGCTGGTGAGAGCAAACGAGGGACTTTCAGTAACCTGGCAAGGCAGAATAAAGTGAACAAGCTGGAACGAATCCCCCTGTGCCCTGGCTTCATCGGGACTACCTGCAGGCTGATCAGGGTGGCCAGCCACAAACACCTCGAGGCCTTCCATTCACTTCACACTGCAGCACTACTCAGCCCTGTAAACACACGGTTAGTGCATATGCTGAGCTGAGATCACTAGAGGGCAGCGCTGGTAACTCTTTGGACTCACATTCCAGAGGAAGCATCTTGTTTTCCCTCAGCTGTGGAAATTCTTTTTGGAAAGCTTAAGAGCAAGGCTGCCCTTTGCACACAAGGACATGCTGACCGTTATACCTGCTGTAGATGCCTGTCTCCGTTCTCATTGGCAGGACTACTCTCCGACCCATTACTGCTTCCTGATTGCTCTTTTTCATTCAACAAAGCTGTGGCATACGCTAACGTGTCCTGCAGAAGATTCAAACACAAGACGACAAAGTTAGGGCCCATTCAGTGGCAGCAGCAACCGCCAGGGAAGACTACCTTTCATCTGACCTTCAGTGGGACCGGAGGCCTGAGAGTGAGGCCTTCATCACAGTCACCAGAACCCCCTCAACCCCTGTCCCTTTTTGTGACCAGACTGCCCAACCTGTATGACTTTCCTTCTAGACAAATAATCTGCACAAATTTGTGTAAGTGTACACCAATCTGTTTTCTTTTCATAGAAATCCAATTGTTTCTTCTGCTTGTTCTCATCTTCAACTCATACCTCTCTTCTCAGAGGTTGCAGTTTCTGAGAAACACACTGAAAATCCTCCATAAGTGATTTAGACCACGCAAAAACAAGAGACAACTCTCACCTGAGCTGAAATGGTTCGCTGAAAGGTTTTTCCAGTTGATGTTTCATTAGAGACATTACTCTGTGGTGTCCAGTAATGTTCTGACATCTGAGATGAAAGGTCAAAAATGCCATCAGAGGTGACAAATAAGCCCCCATGGGTTCACAGTTTCTACCATTAGATATTGAGTCTTAAAAGCATCCCAAGTAGGGTACAAGTCTACCCAGACCTTCCATCACATAAAGCGATTCAAGACCTCAGTCAAGTATTGCTTCTTATATCATCATCCCTACCTTTTCCCCTATGAAGTTAAGACATATGTATTAGGACAAATTTAATGCACACAAGATATAAACTGTAGCAAAGAAATGTTTGAAATCTGAAAACACTTTAAGGTCAGTCTCCATATTCAGTTCTAGAGATTTTTCCTGACAAGATGTGCTATTATTGATTCCTATGTTACAGCTAGAAAAATTCAATGTTCAGTTACCTTCTTCTGTAGCCACTGCACAGCCCAGCTCCAGTGGTGGGAATTCTCCTTGAAGTACTCCTTAGCTGCAGGACACCTGATGACCGAGGAGATTTTTATTAGCCAAATTCTTTCTTTGCTTGTTCCTAGTGCTTCATTTTGAAACGTAAATGCTAGTTTCATTAAAATTCAGTTGTCTTTATATTTGTGATTCTACTTAAATGGGGTTCCTAGAGTAGTCAAATTCATGGAGACAGAAATTACAATTGCTTCCCCCAGGGGCTGGGGGAAGGGAGGAATAGGGAGTCAGTCTTCAATAGGTCCAGAGTTTCAGTTTCAGAAGATGAAAAGAGTTCTGGAGATGGATGGTGGTGATGGTTGCACATCAGTGTGAATGTACTTAAAGTCACTGAACTATACACTTAAAAATGGTTCAAATAGTAAATTTTATGTTATGTACATTTCACCACAATTAAAAAAAAAAGAACCTTCATTTTGCAGTCAATCAGCCTGTGTTCAAGTTTTCACTCTATGACTCTAGGCATGTCACTTAAACTACCCATGATATATGACTCACAACTGTACTAACCTCATGAAGTTGTTACAAAGATGAAATAAGATAATACAGGCAAGGTTCTTGACACGGTGCCTGGGTTCACAAGTGCTCAGGAGCTACAGGTGACATGATTTGAAAGGCTATTCTGAGGTTAGGGACCTAGAGCCTGAAGAGCTGGTAGCTGGGTTACATTAATGAGAAACCTTGAGTGAAAGCTCATGAACTCTTGCTCTTAAAGCCTCCATATCTGCCCTGATTCCTGCCTTTCTGACATAAGGCCTGATGGGTGAGCTTTTCTGGGATTCTATAAAGATCTGTCACTCTTTTAATACTTCCCCTCATATTTTTTTGAGATCATGCAAATAGGTTTCTGTACCTTCCAAGCAAGCAGGCCCTGACTGAGTCAGATTCTCCAGGTATCAAAACCGGGCACATGTTCCCCTTCTGCTCATATGTGACTTGTAATTAAAACACCATTTCCTCCCTGCATTTTAATTCAATACTTACTTTTGAGCAAGAGTGACAAGAAATTTGACACACTGGTAGCAGCGACTACTGTCCACATGATTACTGTGGTGCATCAAAGCTGAGGGAAGAGAAAAGGACATTTTAACAATAAAAGACTCAACTGAAAATGGCTCCAAGTGACAACAAGCTCTCTTGTTCTAAAAATCGACAAACTATTTTAATAAACAGATAAGGAACAACTTAACTAAAAGCATGGTGGTGCCTGACTCAACAGAATCCCTAAATTCTAATGGGTGGAAACACTACTTTAAGTATGTTTAAAAAAAAAAAAAAAAAAAAACCACAACAAAAAAAACATACATGGTGCTGCAAGTTTGACTTTTAGGAGAACTGAACAGGAACAAAACTTTTTACTGCCTGATTATTCACCTAGAGACTTTTCCACATATCATATTACTGAGAGTAGTTCTAGTACTTTTAGATTGATAAATGAAATTTTATGATGCTAGGGTCAGTTCAGCAATTATCACCTGCTCTATGTTTTAGGGATTTAAACATAAATAGGCCGGGCATGGTGGCTCACGCCTGTAATCCCTGCACTTTGGGAGGCAAAGGCGGGTGGATCACTTGAGGTCAGGAGTTTGAGACCAGCCTGAGCAACATGATGAAAGTCTGTCTCTACAAAAAAATACAAAAATTAGCTGGGCTAATGGCATGTGCCCATAATCCCACCTACTTGGGAGGCTGAGGTGGGAGGATCACTTGAGCTTGTGGGGCAGAGTTTGCAGTGAGCTGAGATCATGCCACTGCACTCTAGACTGGAAGACAAAGTGAGACCCTGTCTCAAAAATAAATAAATAAATAAATAAATAAATAAATAAATAAATAAATAAAAATAAAAAATAATACTTGGTCCTGCTCTTGAGGAGTTTATAGTTTTTAAGTTCCAGACGGCCTGTGTGTGGCTCTGACTAGAGTACAGCGTTCCAAAGGGTGGCCTGAAAAGCTGAAGCTACAAAACTTTTTAGCTTAAATCTTTTTTCTACAACAGAAAAAGGCCCTAAATCTCTTAATACATAGCAAAATCTAAAATGATTCAGATTAAGTGGAAATACAGGTAAATGGTGGAAGCTGGCTAAAATTATTCTTAACTAAACTTTTTCTAATAAATAGCTCAGGAAAGCCAATTTAGCCTTCTGAAAAAGAAAGCCCTGCCCAAACAACTTAAGAGTAGACTGTGAAAATATGGTTACGCTTACTATAGGTAAAAAGACATTCACATTTCATGAGCCTGACAACATCCTGCGTCTCAGGTTTTGGTTTTTCTCTCCCCAGTGGCTACAGAGTAGAATGAAAAATTTCTTGCATCAGGGAGTGGCCGTTAGCTTGTTGAAAAAAACTCACAGCACCCCTGAATCTTGCCTTATCTGGTAAAAGAATCCCAAGCTACACCTTCCTGACTAAAAGAGGAGAAATGTGTAGGGTGAGAAGATCCCTGGGTTTTAATTTTTCTGACCAGAATGAGGGAGCCCAGTGGCCCTGACCAGACTTCTACTGTATCAGTCACTGTAGATCCCACCGAGAGTAGCAGGAGGCAGAACTGGCCAGAACAATAGATTATCCACATATTTACTATAGACATTTGTGCATAAGACCAGGCATACTTGCCTAGTAATCCATTTTCTGTCTCAAACACAAATTTGACTCGCTCTACTTGTATAGGATCTTCAATAACCTGGGAAAGGAAGAAACAAAAATTAGTAAATAAAAGAAGGAACTTGTCATAGCCACGGGTGCTTTCTTTATAATTCTACCCAAGAGATTAATTTAGTGTTTGACAACAACAACAACAACAACAACAACAACAACAACAACAACACCACCACCACCAATACAGGACGGGCATGGTGGCTCATGCCTGTTATCTCAGCACTTTGCAAGGCCAAGGCAGGAGGATCACTTGAGGCCAGGAGTTCTGAACTAGCCTGGGCAACAAAGCAAGATCCCATCTCTAAAAAATAAAAAAAGAAATTAGTTGGGCACAGTGACATGTGCCTGTAGTCCCAGCTATACAGGAGGCTGAGGCAAAAGGATCATTTGTGCCTAGGACTTTGAGGCTACAGTGAGCTACGACTGTGGCTCCAGCCTGGGCAACAGAGGGAGACTCTGTCTTGAAAAAAAGAAAACAAAACAAAACAAAAAACCCAATACAAACAAATATTACACGGCTGCCACATATCTCAAATATATCTTAAAACTAAGAGAAAAAACTATTAAGTTATACTTAAAGGTCTATTCATTTCCTATCTATGTGTTGCTATCAACTAGATCTATAGTTCTCTGTGGGTTATGAGGACATATACTTTATGATCCTAAGGATAAGAGGTTTATGCTCTAACTTGCTTAGTAAAAATGTATTGAAGTTTTGCTATCATAGCTGTATTTCTAGTTCTTAGTACTGAACTGTGCATGGTATAAAAACTATATGGGTTTGTTGTTGATAGATGAACAATACACAGTCCTATCCCTAAGGAGCAATAATCTGCCAAAGTCTGTAAAAGCACTAGGACCAAAAGGAAGTAAAGAACTTGAAAAATAAGCTTTTAACAAATGGCATCTATGATGTCTTTTCTTACTCAAAACTCTTTATTAAATGATTATTCTGTGCCAAGGCCTCTATGGAGTATCAAGAATTCGAAGGGAACCCAGGCCCTCACTCTCTAAGGAACCTCTGAACCACACTCATTAACTCATAACCAGTCACCAAATTCCAATGATTCTCTTTCCACAATACCTCTTGATCTGTCTGTCCCTTGCCCCACCACAGGCCTTATTATTTCACACTCAGAATATTCCCAGACTCCTAAATGGTCTTCTAGTTCCCAATCTTGCATCCTTCTTTACTCCATCCTTCAATACAACTGCCAGAGGATTTTTTTTTCCCCTGCTCTTCACACTTCTGAGAGTGGAAAGAATCCTACAATTGATTACATTTCAGTTTCATGGCTCTTAAAAATATTTTTCATAGTACGTACATACAGTCAATAGTGTCTAAGATTTGATAAACTATAAAGCCAGAAATGTACCTCTGAGGGTGACTGTGAAGTTTAAACCTAATATCATTTGCGCTAACACGATGCCTTCTCCACTGTAGGCCCTGGCAGGGGTTAACCATCACTATCACTCCCCTTCAGTCCCCTGCACTACAGTTGTTTGTGTACTTGTCTTGCTCCCTCACTCAACTGTGAGCTCCTAGGAGGTAGTTTTATTACTGCTCGCCTCTAAACCAAATGCATTAGACACATGACTGACACGAAGATTTGGTCTCAATAAATGCAGACCAAATGAATGGAGAAATAATAAAAAGACATATAATTTTTTATTTATAAACACTTGTTGACTAATACATTCCTAAATAAAAGTGAGTCAGAACAGTTATGACTTACCAATATTTCATGAAGTAGTTGGAACGTATTCTTTAACTCATGAGGTGGAGCCGTTTCTAGTTGGTTCTGAAATATTTTTTAAAAGCATAAAAACTTCAGTGGAAAGCATATTGGAATGGCAATTAACAATGCTGGATCCACGTTCTAGCTCTATCACCTTCTGGCCGACCCTGGACAAGTCAATACTGCTTTCTAGGCCTTAGTTTCTCAAATGCTAAGTCTGGGAACTGAAATAAACAACCTCTAAGGTTCTTCCAGCTGCAACACTCTGATACTTTACTATGAAATTAGGAAGGAGAAAAGAAAAGAAAGAGTAGGGGAGATTTCAAGTCACTAAACAGATCCGATTTTATATATGTCCATATCCTAGTTTGTTTTCCAGAAGATGCTGGTAGAGCTACAAGAATACAAATGGGAATACTCTGAGTTAAGGATGCTATGAACAAAGTACATAAAAAGTCAGCTTATAAAATAGAAAAATGTGCCAAGATATACTAAGTGAAGAAGGCAAAATTCATAGAACACACTCCTTCAGCCATTTTAATAAAATTTATATGTATAAAAGTGGGAAAGGACATTGTGTTAAAATACCACACTTCCAAGAGGCCAGGTACAGTACTAAGTGAGCACTTCACGTATTATACCACCTCACTGAATCCTCACAACCTGTGAAGTCAGTCATAGAGGAAGAAACTGCCCAAGGTCATATAATTAGTAAATAGCAAAGAGAGGAACTTAATCTCCTCTGATATAGGTCTGTAGAGAAAAGGCTGAGGGCAAAACATATTATAATAAGAGCCTAAAGACATAATCCACTAATCACCTGCTTCTTGTTAACACTACATGTATCACCACTATAAATACTGGTGCATAAAAGAAGGCATGCAGAAATTCTGTGGGCAGAAACTAATATATACATAGTGGAAATTCATATAAAGAGGCCTGGAAGGAAATATCAATGTAACAGTGTTGGTCCCTGGGGTAGCGTGAGCAAGGATGACTGGTGATGACCACAGTAGACTCTGGTCTCATTTCTTATTTATTTATTTATTATTTTCCTGGCCTATATTTTTTCTTTTGGCCTCATTTCTATGCTTAAATTTTTCCCAAAGAGAGTGTAGTAATTAATCCATGTAATTAAAAATTAAAGATTAAAAATGAATAAAACTGAGCCTATACTAGAATGATTAGGAAAAACAACTTAGGCTATGAGAACAAGCATACTGCCTTGGAGCAAAAAGATGCTCTCCTAGAGTCTCACTTAAAGGCTATCTGGCTATCACTCGTTTAACTGAGGTCTTACCTTAATGAAATGCAGCATTGTGAAGGAAAAATGCTCATTACAGAAACAGCAGTACACTACCATCTCAATGAGTGCCAAGAGCGAGCCTGTCAGCTCCCGCAAAGCAAACATTACCTGGTGGGAAGACATAACACAGTCAGCTATTCTCATGTCACAGTTAACACTCCATCTGTTGTTGCTGCCTTTAACTGAAATCTACCCAGATTTTAAGATAATTAACACTGCCTGAAAACAGGGTTTCTTAACTGTTAGAAGTCTATAGATAGACTTCAGGGTGTCTAAGCCTGTCTGAAATTTTACACAATTTTGTGCAAATGTGCACTTTTTCAGGAGTCGTTTCCATCAGTTTTTCAAAGGCAAAAGCTCCCACAATTAAAATAATCACCAACAGATCCAAAAAATATTAAGCAAAAAAAAAAAAAAAAGATATGTATTAAATAGCACAACACTGTTAATTTAAAAAAAAAAACCAGAATTATATTGTTCATAGATTCACATATCTGTAAATCAGGTAGGGAAGAAGGACTGGAAGATGGAGTCCACAGCTGGGGGCGGCTCTGCTGGAAGGGGAAGGTTGGATTGAGGATGAGCCACACAGGCACCATGATGGAGAGCTGAGAGCAGCCCACCCACACTCCTGAGGTTTAACAACACACGTGGTTCAGAGTTGTAGTATTCCAGGACCAGGAACACACAAAAGAGATTGGGGATGAAACCCTCTACAATTAACGAAATGATTTTGATGGATGAAGTGCCATTTACCTCCCTCTGGGGCCCTGATGGGTAGCTGGCTGGGCTGGACCTGGAGGTCTGGACCTTGGCTGAACAGAAGACTAATAACATTCTCTTCCACTAATTATTTCTTTTTGACATATAAGAAAACTTAATTTGAAAGAACCATTTCTTAACAATACTCTTCATGCCAAACATAACTCGTAACAAAAAGCAATTTTCCTCAAACAGGAGGGAAAAAAATGGCTTTAGAATAACAAGTACATACCTCTAACAGGTAAGGTTTCCCTTCAGACATGAACAACAAGGCTTCTACCTCCTCATGGAGGGGCAACAGAGGGCTTGAGGGAGCAATGCTAATGGGTGGTCGTTGCTTAAATATGCCAGGAGCTTTAGGAGACCAAAGAAACAAAACAGAACCTGTCTCACCTGGTGTTACTCCACAAAATACACATCCATAAGAAAATGTGCCTCCTTCAAGACTCGCACACACACTGAGTACTCTCACAGAGTACTCACACACTGAGTACTCACACACTGAGTACTCGCAGAGTACTTGCACACACAGTACTCACACACAGAGTACTCGTGCACACTGAGCACTCACACACAGTACTCGCACACACAGAGAACTCGCACACAGAGTACTCGCACACACACTGAGTACTCACAAACACACTGAGTACTCACACAGCGGATCCCTCACAGTCTAGGGGGGATACCTAGTGATTCCCACTCCATAATCTTTCAAAGAGGTAAAAATATAAATAGTTTATGAAATACTGCCGAAAGCTGCCACTGAAGATACAGTGGAGAAGACACTTCTGTTCCTCAAACAACTGTTCTCAAATAATGGCTAACACCACCTATGCTAAGCAGAATCAACCCATATAGAAGGAGTTATTTCATTTGCTAGAAAAACCAGAATGCATACTTTAATTTTCGTTACAAAATTGTCTGAACTCACAAAATTAGGTAGCTTTGTCTTTTTAGATGAGTTGGAGTTTAGTAAGCAGACTCTGCCTTATAACACAACCACCTGAGTGTTCCTCCAATGTCCCTTTAGAGAGTCAATAAGCATTTCTCTATCAGAAGGATGCTCTGTGTTTTTATTTAGTTTCCTGCCATTAGATCTTCCTAGTAGCTTCTGGGTCTGAGTTTGCATTCATGCCTTGGCTTCTATGCCACTAACTAGCTGTATGACCTTGTGGAGGTTACTAAACCTTTCTGTGCCTTAGTTTTTGCATCCATAGACAGGATGAATACTCCTCATAGGTTTGTTACGGGGATCAAACACAGTAAGTTTAAAGCACTGTGTGCTTTAAACACAATAAATTTAAAGCACAGCACACAGAAAACACTGAAAAGCTGGTTTGTTGTATTATTACTATGGTTGTTGTCACTATCATGACAAGACCCAGGAAGAGTATAAAAACAGTACACACATAAGTTAGGACACTGGATAATCATATAGGACAATTTGTGGTTTTGCTGTATTGGATGATGACTGTGTTATTAGTTCTGGGAGACAAAATGGAAAATGCTACCAACTGTATCTTACATTCAAATATATTTCAATGATGTAATTTATATCTGCATCCCCTTTGTTTTTACAAAGTACTTTATCTCATTATCTCATTATACCTGGGGAATTATGTTTTGAGTATTTTCATTTTGCACTGAAGATCAGAACGGTCAGGTTCACGAAACTAGGAGACTCCAGCCCACACCATGGCTATTTTCCACACAGTAGTGGTTCAAATTAAGGTGATAAATGAGCTCTGAATTAGCTTTTAATCCTAAAGAGTTGTTTTAAAAAAAATACTTATATACCCTCTCACCTCTCCCAAATGAATGATGACTCACTTTCTCTTATGGCAAACTAGTAAAATATTATAAAGTTTAACATGAATTAAAACAAAAATTTTAAGTGCACCTCAACTAGCAAGTAGTCGAATGAGAAACAAGAGACATTCATTTACTTGCTAATATAATTACTCTCCAAGCTAGACAAATTCAGTATCTCTTCATTCTAAGATATGTTAAGCTTACCAACATTCCTTTGGGATGAGACATCTGAATGCAAAACAAGTAACGCCACTGTATTGTGAAGATTCCCAAATTCTCGTGCTTGTGCTGAACTCCATCGACGTATCTGTCATCAGGGAAGATAAAGTGGCTGTTAGTGTTGTCGTCAGAAATAATATGAAGAGGAAGGGACAGGGTTTGCTGGTTCATAATATTCTGGGCTTTAATTATTTCTCAGTGCTTGACAGAAGAGGTCAAGGTACAAAAAAATCACAGGTTTTAAGCCAGCTCAAAGGGTTATATTAACTCATATTCTAAAACCAGTCCCTTTATGGATTCACTGTAGGTACTGAGTGCTTACAACGTGCCTCAGTATAATGGGAAAAACTCTGAGGCTGGAGATCTGCAGGTCTGGCCCTGCCTCTACCACTCACTGTGCCGCGTAATGTGAGTGAGTTCTTCACCACAACAGTATCTTGAGTTCTTCATGTACTGGCAGAGGTAAGGCTACCTGCCACCTCCCTATTCTGCCTACTTTGTGATTTTGAGGACTAAATGAAATATTAAAAGTGAAAATGTTTTCAAAAGTAGAAATGTGCTCCACAAATGCAAAATAGTATTAATTATACATGCAGCTGAATTATAGTGAATTTAAACTAATTGCTAGTGACAATGGGGCCTTGGATATGGAAGAGTTTGAAGTGGAAAAGGGATATTGTAAATTTCAACATAGTATCCACACACAGAGCACGTGATGCTGTCAGTACTTGTTTTTTTAACACTAAAGAGAAAGCTGAGAGGAAGCCTAAGTCGAAAATCTGTCTCCCTTAGCAGGAAAGGAAAAATGCCTGTGTAATGTGTTTACACACAGGGGAAAAGACTCTGGCTTTGACACCAGCAGAGCTGGGTCTGAATCCCTGCTCCACCAATGCATTAGCTTTGTGACCTTGGACAACTTACTTAACATCTCTGAGCTTTACTCCTTGCCTGAGAATGGGGATGAAGCTGCTTAATTTTGATGAACTGTGAGTATCAAAAGTATACCACAATAAAGTGACCAGTCGTATCAAGTACATAATAAGTACTCCATAAATAGTACTTATTACCACTGCATGTTAGCATTTCATGTATTTTGAATCTATCAAATAAAAGAAATACGATGGATGGGAGAAACACTGCAATAAAGCAATTTCAAACAGGAGAGTTGGTTTTGGACATATTCAACACTATTCTAACAAAACAACCTCGGTAAGCCGAGGTGGGCAGATCACTTGAGCCCAGGAGTTTGAGACCAGTTTGGGCAACATGGTGAAATCCTGTTTCTATACAAAATACAAAGTTAGCCAGGCACGGTGGCATGTGCCTATAGTCCCAGCTACCAGGGGGCTGAGGAGGGAGGATCACTGAAACCCAGAAGGTCTAGGCTGCAGTGACCCCTGATTACACCACTGTGCTCCAATCTGGGTGACAGCAAACCTGGTGACAGAGTGAGACCTTGTCTCAAACAGACAACAAACAAAAAAACCCAAACAACTTCCTTTTCATTTGAACAAGAGTATTATATCTGCACTATCATTCAGTTTATAACAGCACAACTTTGCATTTGGATTCTGGCTGTGTTTTCAGCATCTGACTTAAAAGAACCACCACCAAGACAGCCTTGTTCACAGCCCCAGAGAGGAAGTAGAAGACCCCAATACCACCTATTCCCTAAAGGTTTTTGAAACCCCCTCCCCAGTCAGAATCCACCTTTCCCTCTTATGACTTTGTCACTAGTTAGTAATTTCCATGGGTTATTAGACTAAATTGTATGAAGAAGTTGTAAAGATAATTTAACTCCAAAGAATTTTCAAGTCTCTATGGTACTACTACTTAGACTTTTATGAAATTAAAAACATTTATCACCTACAAAAAGAAACACAGCGGCTATGAAAACCATAGCTATTCCACTAGGGATATAAAAGTAGTCCTTACCTGATTGTTTTGCCGACTGGCCCCTAGGAGGAAGCTGATCATGTGCCGCAGAGCTGAATGCCTCAGAAGAAGATCTCCAGCCCTAATTCCTTGCTGTCACAAGATATTGAGAATAACAAATTATATTTCTATCCAGACAAAAATTGGTTTTAAAAACACAGCTAAATGGAAAGTTTTAAGGAGTCAATATATTTTTTAAGAATATTATTTCCATATAGAAAGTACTTGTTAAAATCTAATTAAAAAAACTCCTGAGCCTCACATTGCTTCACAATAACTACTAAACAATTAACCCCTAGTTTTAATGCAGACTTCTACTGCTATCAATGAGTAACTATACCCACCTCATCAGAATTCTTACAAGTAATATAATTCACAAGATTTTTAGGAAGAAACATCATAAAAAACATACCATATAGAACTTTACTATCCAGTCTAAAAATTTTTTAGAGTATAAATCTTCTGTATTAGGAAAAGATATTAGGAAAAAAATTATTTACCTTTTGTACAAAAGTGTTGAACAGGAAAAAGTACTGAGCACAGTTTTTACAATTTTCTGGGACGTCTTTGTCCAACAGAGCAAGTAGTACCTCCAGTAACTGATGAAGGCTTTTTAACTGGTTAGAGGAAAGATAAAATTACATGAAGAAAAAGAACGTAAGACAGACATTTATAACAGGATTAATTTGAGGTAAACCACCATAAGAACAAAAGGAAAGTCTGATACAATCCAGTCTCAGATTCAGATGGACTTATGCTTTGAAGAGCAAAAACAGAATTATCCATTTTACCTTCCAGAGAAAGATTGGTACCATAGCAATAATTAAAAGAAAAGCTTAGTTTCAGTTCCTAGATTTCAGAGTCAAGGGCATCAATTCTACCGCTGAGTCACATTTTCTCCAGAGCCAGTATCTCTCTGTCTCTTAAAAAAAGGTGGGGTGTTTAGGGAAGACATTTCTGAATCCCTCCCTCCACTACGTTACTTCTTCACATAATCACAGATGCAAAGAATAAAAAACACAGACACAGGCATAGGGGCTGGAAACCAAGCCGATGGAGCAAATGGATAGCAACAGCCTGACAGAATGACAACGGTGATATCGACTCAGCCGTGAACTTACTTGAGAGCCCGCTGACGCCTCATGGAAAGCTTTGAAAAACATTTTATTTGTTTAGAAACCATTTTGGTTATGACATTGCTTCTTCTTTCCCTCCCACCCCAACTGTTTTTGGACAAGTCCCTAGAAATTCATCTGTGATCTAGATTTAAGACCAGGCTTACTACTCTCATTAGTTCGTTTCCTCTGAAGATGGTATTCATACTTCTGCAATATTCCCATCCATCCTGTCACACCCATTATAAATACAGTAAAATTTAGCATTTACATAGCACTTCATTTTCAAAGTACTTTACAAGATAAAGTGGGTGGCAAGAGGCACCATTTCCATTTACGGGGGGAGGGGGGCAAATAGACATGAAAATCCATCAGCTGGGCATCAGACAGAATTCACTGAGCAAATGGCTTCCAAGTGTATGGCCGCCATTCCCTTCTCTTTCTGCCGCCTGCTGTCCTGCCTTTAGAGGCTGGTGGGTAATATGCTACGGCCTGACCCCATCTCTAGGGAGGCTGCACTAACTCTGCCTTTATCCTTTGTTTGGGTTGGTACATGGGAGGAAGGAGGAGAGTGATATGGTCCTTATGTTAAGGATTCTTGATGCATCTTAGAAACTTCCACAGGGAATGGAGCAATGGCATTTGAACTGTCCTCAGCTGCTCCTGTGGCTTGTATTCTATATTTTGCATCTAGGTAGGATTTTGTTTAAAAAATGGTTCTGCTATTTAAGCTGATCAAAACCACTGCCTTACAGTAAACCTCAACTTCCTAATGATTCCCGGAATTGAGATACAGTCTTTGAGGACCTTCCTAAGGGGCATATTTGACTGCCTTGTTCATGGAACTAAGTGCTTGGGTGGCAGGCACTGTATCTGGATCAACATCCTCCTTAAAGGACTTGCTCAAAGTTGCACAGCAAAGCCAACATCTGCATTTGAAGCAGTAATTCCTAGAATCTGTATTTAGTTCATTGAGGCACAATGCCTCCAGCTAATGTTTATAAGAAGCCAATTTGTTGTGAAAATAACATTTTTCAAAGTTTTCCATGTAGTGTCAGCTGTTTGAAACAGCAATCTTGGGAAGTAACTGCTGTACCTGTAAGGACTTAACGCCCCTGGATGAATAGCACTATTTGGTTTGGTTGCCAGCTGCAGGTTTAGATCAGGAAAATAGCTTATGAGGAAAAAGACAAAGCCAGAGGTGGCTCAAAATGTCTGCTGGCCTAGATGAGTCTCTAGACACAGATTAGTCTCAGTTCAGAGAGATCTAATACAAATTCTTGAGAAAGGACTCTGAAAAGGGAGTGTTTCTAGAGAGAAAATCCCAACGCAGACCAAAGCAGGCCTGAATTCCTGGCCTACCCTGGTGTTTGGGATGTGAGGAGGAAGGGACAGAATGCCTTCTCCCTGGCATGTACCAAAAATCAGTTCACAGAAGGTGTATTTATGTGGCAAAATTACCAGACTCCAATCCTAGGCTCTTTCTTATTACCTGCAATTTAAAACATTTGGTAAAAACACAGTGTATAAATAACGTTTTAAAAATGAGACCGACCTTATCCTGATAAAACAAGGCACTGTCTAGGGTTTTCTCCAGAATGGTGGCCACAGCAACTCGTACTTCTCTCACATTGCACTCCAGTAAGAAAATCCTGAAAGAAAGAGAAAGGTGGTGTGAAAAAGCAAGATACATTTCCACAACCTCAACCTTCCCATGATAGGTCCCATCTAATAGCCAAGAAACAAAAGTAGAGTCTCCTGACAGTGTTAGCGCTTATGGGCCAAGTGGAGCTTTCCAAGGTCACTTCACTTCTGCTTATTCCTGCTAACTGTAATGCCACATACCAGCCAAGGCTCTGTTCAAAATTCACTAAGACTCTATGTGGCAACTATGAGAAAGTTTAAAAGATAAGAAGTACTCCCATAATGTTCAGCTCTAGAGGTACAATCAGACTCAGCTGCAATTCTCTTGAAGGGAATACCTAGAGGATGCAAACAGATCCAGAATATGGGGAGCTCTACAGAGCAAACAGTCTACTCCTCAAACAAATGGCACAGCATACAAGGGGCAGGGGGACAAAGGAATGACTGATGGTCAGAAGAGCCTTAAGAGACACAGAAAGCAAAGGCCATGTGTGGACCTCACTGGATCCTGATTTGTGCAAACTCAATGGTAAAATGACACTTCTGAGACCTTTGGAGGAAATCTGAACATGGACTAGATATAAGGTGATATGAAGGAATTATATTAATTTTGTTGGTGTGATAACAGTAAAGTACTTACATTGTTTTTAACTTTGCTGTTAGAGATGAACTTTACCTTCAGATACACGCTGAAAATTTATTGTGAAATGATATAATGTCTGCAATTTAAAATACTTCAGAGAGACAAAAAAGCCTGCATGTGGGTATCCTGTGTGAGAGCTGAGATAGCTAAGGCAAGACAGGCAAATGTCAACAACTTGCCTGGGGCCTGGGTACAGGAGAGGGCTCATTCTGCCTACTTCTGCGTGTGTTTAAACATTTCCACAATAAAAGGCTCTTTAAAAATGTAAAGTATCCTTCATGTTAGTAGTCTGAATTCTTTAGATCAATCTGTAAGCAATATTTACTATGAATTAATTTTTTTACAATTATAATTATGTTTAAAGAATTGCCTTAGAAGACTATACCAAGGGGCTGATCTAAAAGACAATATCTCTTCATGTTTAAAGTTACTAAAATATGAGTATAGTATATATACTTATTTTTTAGTTGCAAAAATGACAACCTATCTTAAAAATTATAAAGAAATAAGTAATTAGAAAAAAAGATCATTAATTCTTCAAACACGAAATCATAGCAATTGATAGTGATGAGTGATTGGTCTTTATAAAGAAAGAAACAAACTATAATAAACTCCATCAGGAAGAATGTAGAAGTAATTCACTGGGATTCTTGAGCATTAGGAATACCAAGAAACCAAACATACTACCCAAAGGACGTTACAGTTTCTCTGGAGATATTTAAAAGCAAGTCTGCTTGGACATAAGGGAATGAATAAAATATTTGCATATTTGCCATGTTCCTTCCAAATGGATGATCTTTCTATAACATTCTAATGCTTGCACAATGCTCAGGAGTCCCGTTGGAAAGATATTTTGGAATCAAACTAGAAAAATGGTTATCTCTAATGCAAACTCTAAAGGGACAGGCGTACAGCACACAGCACTTCAAAGAAATGCTTACTGATTCTTTTTATGAATTATATGGATATATGCATGCATGCCTGAATAAGTATTTGACTGCTTGCTATTTGCCAGCCTCTTTGTGTCTAGTAGGGAATGAACTGAACCTGGCTTCTGCCCTCAAGAAGCTGAAGTTGTAGTAGAGGAGATGGGCAGAAAAAAGGGAGCAGACTAGCAGGCAACATCCGTTAGACTGGGTGACTGGGAACAGCCTCTCAGAGCAAATGCTATTCACGCTGATGTCTGAAGGAGAAGCCACTTACTATGTGAAGAGGGGAGGATGGTGTTCCAGATAAGGAATAACAGGTGCAAGGACCTTGAGGCAGGAAAATAAGCTCGGCAGGTTCAAGGAACCAATGAGCCAGTATGGCTAAAGCCTGACAAGCAGAGAGTGAGTCAAGGAAAGCCTGGAAGGACAAAAACCAGATCAAGCAAGGCCTTGTGGGTAATGGTGAAAATTCTGGATTTTATTCTGAGAGCAACAGGATTCCGCTGAAGAATTTTTAACCAGAGAGGTAATGTGATCTAATTTGTTTGAAAAAGAACAGGTCTGTTGCTGAATGAAATAGATTAGAGGGAAAAGTGCAGATATCAAGTAGGCAAATAAATGTTTGGAGCTCAGACCTAGAGAGGAAGAGGATCAGGGATCAGCAGTTCTGAAAAGATCTCTAACTTACCAGCAGACTGTGATCGCCTTGTGGGAAGAGACTTGCGTTTCTGAATTCCCTGTTGTGTGTTTGTTTTGAGAGAAAACAGAGCATATTTGTATGCTGGCAGAAGTGACAGAAGTGATAGAAAATTCTAGAAAGTAAAGATGCAGGAATTAAGAGTGAGATAATTAAAGGGTCAACTTCCTTGAGAAGGTGTGCACATGTAGAGAGATTCATTTTGAAAGGAGAGAGGATACTTCCTCTACAATAAAGAGAGGAAAGGGCAAGCTGGAACAGACTCTGGCAGGCGTGTGGCATCTGTGGTTGGGGTAGGAAATGCTCATTTGCTAATCTGTACTTTCTCAGTGAAGTCGAGCGGTAAGGAGTGGGCACAGCTGAGGCAGAGTGAAGGAGGAGCCCACTGGGGAATAGAGGAGACAGGACACCAG
Organism: Homo sapiens; assembly: GCF_000001405.40. NCBI lineage: Eukaryota > Metazoa > Chordata > Mammalia > Primates > Hominidae > Homo > Homo sapiens. The sequence continues at coordinate 55,088,713 of NC_000001.11, forward strand.
AGACCACGGCAGTGCTTGCTGGAACCCCACATAAATGTTGAACTTCCAAGGACAAGAGAAGCTGACTTGATGAGGATGATCAGAAGTAAAGTGTAAACATTCATAGTGATTGGAGCATTCTGAATTTCTGCCAGAAAAGCAAATTTTTCTTTTTTAAATTTCAGGTACCTAGGTAGATGTACTATCATAGGTAATATACTACCAGGAGTTTTTTTTTTTTGAGTGGAGTCTCGCTCTGTTGCCAGGCTGGAGTGCAGTGACGCGATCTCAGCTCACTGCAACCTCTGCCTCCTGGGTTCAAGCAATTCTCCTGCCTCAGCCTCCCAAGTAGCTATAGGTGCCCACAACCACGCCCGGCTAATTTTTTGTATTTTTAGTAGAGGCGGGGTTTCACCATGTTGGCCAGGATGGTCTTGATCTCTTGACCTCATGGTCTGCCCGCCGTGGCCTCCCAAAGTGCAGGGATTACAGGTGCGAGCCACTGCACCTGGCCTACCGGTAGATTTTTGAAAAATAATTTTTTAGTCAGAATCCAAACACAGTTAGACAATATTGTGAAATGTGTGGTACTCTGGGATTGTTTCTCTCTTTCCACCAGATTCCGAGTCCCTGAGGGAAGAGACTTGCGTCTCTGACCCCCTTTGAACCATAGCAGGGGTTTAAGACCCACGTGCCTATGAGTACCTGGCAGGCGATCTGCCTCACAGGCTCTTCTTGTGGTCACTGAATACTTGCCTGAGATGATTTTGGAGTGACCTGAATTATTTCCTCACTGTTTCAGTGAAGAGAGTTTAAAATAGACTTTAAGCAGAACAATAATTTCAAGTTGAAATAAAAAGGGTTATAAGAAACTTCAGCTCTAAATCACTGGAAGAGACACAAATTTCTTTTAATTAAAAGACTCCAACACTTACTTTATCAATTCTCGTCCTTCAGAACTAATAAAATATTCAACTAACCACTGACAAGCATCAAAACTTTTTGAAAGCAATGCTTCAATGGTAGCAATCCATTCTTCAGTATCAACCCTTTAAAAAAAAGCAGATACAGCAATGTTAGGAGCATAAGCCCAGCCAATGACCTCATGCAGTGCACTCTTGTTGGTTCTTATCCTTTCTATCTATGAATGTCTCTCTGTATGTCTCTCGTGGGTAGAGTGGAGGGATAAGAGATACTTAATGACTGCCCACTACCATGGCTCAGTGTACTCTGGAAGTCAGTGCTTTGCATTCCTTGGCTCCTTGTGGTGTGGCTCATCTTTCCCCACAAACAAAAAAGTGTAAAGAAGCTTAAGTCTTAGACTTTACCTTCCTTCTGCATCTTCATCAAACAACTCGAATTAGACAAAAGGCCTGAACTATAGCATTTTTTTCATTAATTTACACTCACAAAATGTCCACTTTCAGAATAGCTTACATTGACATTTTTATGCTTTATTGCTAAAATCATTAATATCCTACCTTATGGAATAAAAAAAAAATATTCAGGCAGAAAAAAGGTATAATGACTATTCTACCCAAGCCCTCATAACACCTCCCTTACATCCCCCAATGTCCCAAAATGATCATTGTGTAAAATGGCCATATAAACAAAATGGAAATAGTGGGCCATGTGTAAAGAGCATGAGCAAATTTCACAAACAAAAGTGACCAATCCTATGCCAGGATAGGCATAGTGACTAATTAGTTAATCCTATGCCAGACATTAAAAGAAAGGGATACATTATTTTTTCTTTTTCAGATAATAAAGACTGAGATCACTTAATATATCTTTGATTATTATACATAAAAATGAAGTTGTCACTATATATTTTTTCTGAAGAGTTTCTTGACTGCAAAATCTGTCCAAAAACCTCTCCATACTTGGAGAAGCTCACTTTGCTAGTGAGAGGGAAAAGACTGGGAACTTAAGTAGTCTTTTAACTCTAACTGGTCTCCTCACCCTGGGTCTCCCCTTACTCTAGGTATATTCTACAAACCACTGCTCAATACTCTTCATTCTTCACTCATTTATTCACAGAACAATGACTTATCCAGAACCTATAATGTGCAGGCACCTTACCAGGTGCTGAAGATAAAAACCGATGACGAGGCCAGGCACAGTGGCTCACGCCTGTAATCTCTGCACTTTGGGAGGCCAAGGAAGGCGAATCACCTGAGGCTGGGAGTTCAAGAGTAGTTTGCTCAACACGGCGAAACCCCGTCTCTACTAAAAATACAAAAATTTGCCGGGTGTGGTGGCGCACGCCCATAGTCCAGCTACTTGGGAGGCTGAGGTAGAAGAATCGCTTGAACCCGGGACACAGAGGTTGCAGTGAGCCAAGACTGCACCACTGCACTCCAGTCTGGGCAACAGAGTGAGACTCTGCCTCAAAAACCCAAAAAAACCATAAAACCAATGATGAATAAGATACAGTCAATGTCTGTAAAGTTTCTAAGGCAGAGGTCCCCAAGCCCTGGGCCATGGACCAGTACCGGCCTGGGACCCGTTAGGAACAGGGCCGCACAGCAGGAGGTAAGTGGTGTGCCAGTGAGCATTACAGCCTGAGCTCCACTTCCTGTCAGATCAGTGGCAGCATTAGATTCTCATAGGAGCATGAACCCTATTGTGAACTGCACACATGAGGGATCTAGGCTGTGCGTTCCCTATGAGAATCTAATTGTCCCCCCAACCCTCCCTTTTGTGGAAAAATTGTCTTCCATGAAACCACTCCCTGTTGCTAAAAATATTGGAGGCTGTTGTTCTAAGGCATTACTCTGGACATACTTCCCTGTTCAAAAACCTTTCACGATCTCCCACTGAACACAGCCCAAACTCCCTGCTCTGGCACTAAGGGCACTCAGTGAGTTCTAAACCCAACATTCAGCCTCAGCTCCAGGAGTCTCTCACACGTCCTACTAAAACACAATTAGTCACTCATGGTTCCCTAGGCCAAGTCTTGTCTGTTACTCAGGCTTTCCTTTCTGCCTAAAATGAGCCCTCTGTGTTTCTCTGTTTTGCCTTTCGAAACCCTCTGAGAACATCAGTGTCTTAAAGCCTACTCTAATCTCCTTATCTGGATATGATTTTGCCCAATTCGAAGATGTACAGAATTTATACCTTGGTATAAATTGTCTTTTTAGGTATTTCTCTTTTGTTTGAGCTATTCTTTCCATTAGGTTAGAAGTTTCTTAAAGCTAGAGACCATGTCTTAGTCCTCTGAATAAAATTAGGTAGCTGCTTTCACAATATTTTAATTATAAATTCAACTTCAATTGAATTCACCAGTGCCCTCTGTCACAACAGATTATCAAAACATATCACTTCTCACCTGAGTTTCTTCTTTGTCCGTAGATAAGTTTGAAAAAGGAATTGAATAGCAAGCTGTAAGCTCACCTTTGCCATGCAAGGATAATATGGATGCTTTAATTTAGTCTAAGAGAGGGAAACATGAAAGAGGATATTTTTCACAGAAGTTTTATAGATTATTACACAGTTACGAACTAAATTATGATACACACACAATATATGAATATGATATACACACATGATAAAGTTAAATACTAATAAGAAGAATCTTGCCAGTTCATTATAAAAAAATGTTCCATTTAAATTTTTAAAAAGGTTAAGAAAAGACATTGTCTTCATTTCTTTTATGAAATCCTCTCAAAACAGTTGTTAGACCGCAGGATGTTAAGTCATCAAGAGACTAAGAATGTTGTTTTCCCTTATTGGCAAATTACAATCATGGTACTCAAGGAAAAGTAGTTGAAAGTTAATCTTTAGTCTTGTGATATTTTATTACAAATTAGGAATCTCCACAAAGACCAATATCCATTGACATGAGCTCACAGTTATAGCTATTCTAAGATTCTTTTATAAATCTAAACAAGGGCACTTTAGAAAGCCAGTATGTGGGAAGTCACACCTCCCCACCATCTACATTATACATTCAGAATGCTGCTTGCATTTTAATATTACCCAATACGGGCTACATTCACGGGAAAACCTTTTTGCATCTAACCTGAATGCTAACTACTGAGACTGAGGATGAATCACTGAATGCTTTAGCTAAAGCATATTTAATTGTAACCCTTTCTTATTTCTAACAATCCAGTTAGTTACTTACAGCATTCAATGAAGCTAAAGACAAAACAAAACTGAAATAATCACTACTGTATACATCTCTATTCTTCATAAACTTGAGGTTCTCATCTCTCACCATCTACAAAAGAAGATTAATAATTATTTTTATGAAATGGAAAAATATTCAATATGTGAAGGACATTTCTAATGATATGTAAAAATATAGGTAAAAAGCACTTATAAAAAGTGAATTATAATTTATAATTCCCCTTTCTCAAGTTTTGAACTTTTAAAAGAGGAGAGAGAAAACCTTCCTTTGACATATAAGATGTTATAAGAACTATTATTCATTAAACCATACCCTTTTGGGAAATTCAGGTAAACTGCCATGTGAAGGACAAATGAATTCTAACTTGGTATTTTAGGTAGAAGGGGATAAACAGAGCTCTCCCAAGCACAACCAACTCCATGCTTCCTTTATGTCAGATGGCTTAATTCTCTTTCTTTCTTAATGTAAGACTCGATATTTTTCTCAAATTCTCTTGTTCTAGCTACTGAGCTTTTGATTAATTAGTGTATAAAGTCTGGACTGAGTAGACAGTTCTGAATTTAGATCCTTGTCCTGTGACACTGGCACATACTTCTTCTTTTCTGAACCTGTTTTTCCATCCAAAAAATGAGAATAAAACCTGATACTGCATAATAATCTTTTACAAATTAAAGATGTGCTTAAAGCACGTAGCACACAGTAGGTGTTCAATAAATAATGGCCAATGATTGTTTTATTAGTCCCACTCAAAGGTTATGAACCTTAACTTGTTTTTCTCTCCAGACAAAATAAGTTTATTTCAGCAACACGATTTCTTTACTGCCCACTCCCCACAACTCTGTTTATTTGTGACATTTCACACTCACAGAGCAGGTCAGTGATTGTGCCTGCCAATCATGAGTGTGTATTCATACTTGTGTTCTTAGCACTCCATGGCTCTAGCTCTATGGCCCCCTCTGTGTCGTGGCATAAAAGGTTCATGAGACAAGTGTGTAAGACGATGTAGCCCCAGTGGTACAACTAATCCAGCAGAAGTACTTCTGGACCTACTAGATACATTTTGATGTCCACGTGGATATTCCCCCTTAGAATTTTTTATATGGTTCTTACCTGGTATATTCGAGCAGGCATTTTCTCCACAAACAGTCCTTTCTTCTCGCCTTTTTTAACCAGCTTGGTAAGAATAGACAGCCGGTCATTGTTCGGCCTATGGGGCCGAGGGGATGACTGAGGTGAAATTTCTGGTGAAGATGGAGCTGACCTAAGAGATAGAATCAGAAAACTCTGTCTAGTATAAAGTGGCTATTTTTTCAGTAGTTACTAAGACTTGCCAAATTCACATAAACGGGTATTAGACTATTTGATTATTATACATGTATCGAAACATAAAACTGTACCACATAAATATATACAATCATAATGTAACAATTAAGAAATTAAAAATGCAATACTTTCTAATTAGTTGGGAGAACTGATTGACATTATAGAAGATAAAATAGTGCAGGGCAAATTTAACACAAATTTTTACTTAAGTGGCATATGAGATTTAACATTTAAGCACAAAATGAATTCTTCCTTCATATTATTGTGAGATATCTTTCCCAGCCATTAAAAAAGCAGTGAAATAAACTTATCTTAGAGCCACACACTCAAAGTCGTGTAAGAACAAAGTATTGAACCAAGTTTTCAAATTTAATAAAACACATATAGTCATATTTCTCACATGAAAAAGTAAACACTTTCCTGACCCAATATATTAAAAGGCAAATTCACTGACAATAGGACCTTTAAAAAACAACAACATTCTGACAGTGTTGGCATAGCATTATGCTTTGGACAAAAAGTGTATTCAACAAATGCTGCTAACATTAAAAAAAAAAAAAAAAAAAAGTCCAGGTATGGTGACTTATGCCTATAATCCCAGCACTTTGGGAGGCCTAGATGGGAGTATTGCTTGAGCCCAGGAGTTCCAGACCAGCCTGGGCAACATTGGGAGACCTTATCTTTACAAAAAACAGACAAACCAAATATCTGGGCCTGGTGCCCCTCGCCTGTGGTCCCAGCTATTCAAGAGGCTGAGGTGGAAGGATCGCTTCAGCCTGGGAGGTCGAGGCTGCAGTGAGCTATGATCATGCCACTGCACTCCAGCCTGGGTGACAGAGTGAGACCACACTGTCTCAAAAAAACAAAAAACAAAACACTTCAATTCTAGAATGAAATAACTTACGTGCATGTTTCTAAATATGTAACAACTTCTTGCCAAGAAAATAACCATGAAGCAATAAGGGATTTATTTTCTTTTTGGAATTCTTTTTAGAATTTCTCTCCAGCTTAGCTAATTATCTTTAAAATCTCAAATAGTATATTGTCACAGACCACATCATCACCATAGAAATCACACAGCAAATTACATGGAAGAGACACTTACAGAGAGAGATCCTCAGCTTCCTGCCGTACAACGCTGACTCGACTTTTCTTTGGTAATACTGGGGAGTTCTGATCAGACACCCTTTGGTAGAAAAGCATATAGGCATTCCAGTATCTTCGGCGCACATCAGTGTATGGGTTTGCTTTATAACAAGACATTAAGAAACACATCTGTAAATAAAAGTTTTTCTTGTCTTGACAATCTAAAACAAAGGGCCCATTATTCCAGCAAGTAGTTAACTACTCCCTAAGTTTGTAAAATGCAAAGTATAAGTAAAATGTGAGTGTCTTTAGAGTACTGCTTAGCATGGAAGTCAGGATACTTCAGTTGTGGGCCTAGCTGGATCTCTCACTTGGAAGTGATATAGGTGGGGACAAGGAATAAGGGAGCAGTATGGTAATGGAGTAAGAGAAAGAAGGTAAGTATCCTAGGGAGGTCTAAATGTAAGCAAATAGCAAGTGACATTTAAAAATATGTTCTGTGGCACAAGATGGGATAACTGGCCTCACTTAACCATTTCTGCCAAGATCGGCCAAATCCAGGCAAATTCTGACAATACTATATCCAACTCTTAAAGGTTACCACCATAAGATGCTTAACTATAATGGCATGGTATCAAAATCTAATACAGTGAATCCAATACAGCTAAAAATTTAGAAATACCACTAGAAGATTTCAAAATCAGGTTTCTGAAATGCTAAGGTCTCCACCAAATAGCTTTTTATCAAATAGCAAGTTCTGATTGGGCTGTACTTCTCCTCATACTCTTTTTTCCTGGGAGTGGGGATTGTAGAGGGAAAGACTGCTTTGCCACACTGCATAATAAATATGGTTTTAAAAACACAGGTGCTAGAAATGTCTTCTCTAATTAGTCACACCTCTACATAAGTGAAAAGGAAATCTGAAAATTTTAATGGATAACTACTTCCAAAACTATTTTTAAGGTTCAATTTCAGTATTCATTACTTTCTCTCTGATGCTCATTTCATCCTTTTAACTTACTCCCAGCTCCCCTACCTATCCCTCAAGGTTGTTGTAAGAAATTATTTAAAAAAATTTTTATAAACAGCTTGAACATTTTCACTTTGGTTATTAAAGAGCTTGCTCATGGTTCTATTGCTAGAACAGTAGTACAATAAAAATAACAAAATCTGTTGTGTTTTTATATAAAGAATACTATTAATTTTTATAGAAAACGATAAATAAAAAAACTAATGGAAAATATCCATTTGTAAATACTTACTTTGATCATAAACTTTTGGTCTATATTCTCCTCCAAAGCATTCATACTCCAGGGTCTCGTCATTTAGGTCAAATTCTTCTATAACTGTGTCATTAAATTTATACCACTTTCCTTTTCCACACCCTCTAGAACCCAGAGATCAGACAAACATTATAAGGTTAAAAAAATCAACCTCCTCATCCTTAGCATTGATCTCAATGTATTGTCTACAAATAAAGCAGGTGTTTACCATTTGAAAATATCTAAGAAATATGTAGCAACAATTATTTCAATTTCTAAAACAACTTTTCAAATTGAAGGGGTAAAACCAGTTGCACGAAGCTTTAAAACTTCAAAATGAAACACAGTCAAGAACAATGCCAAAGTGTCCCTGCACCACAGCGGTGAGTATGGATGATAACGGAGAGCAGGGGAGGGCAGAAAGTGAGTAAGTGCTGCCTCAGGAAACTCTTACCGCCTGTCCTTAATGAAGGAATAGTAGTGGCCTGCGTGTGCCTGCCCACTGTGTACGATGACACCGACAAGTTCATAGTTTTCTGTGAGGGCAACCTTTTTTCGTGGGGATCCTCCACCGCCCTGATCCACACTTCGCCCATTTTCCCCAACTTCAGAAGAAGAATCTTGGCGAGCCATTCCTGAAACTGTGTAAGGCTCCATGTTTAGCATCCAGGGAAACTATGTAGAAGCAAAAAGACCATATTAACGTTGATTACTAACATATACAGCAGTACCCAGTTAAGTGAGATCCAAATAAGAGGAAGTGTTTTCCTAGTTTAAGCTAGGAACAACTACCTCACCAGTTCAAGTATAAAATCTCAGAAATGTTAAGTCTGGGAACGTCTAAAGTAGCCTCTGGTTTGAGCCCTAAGGAAGGCATTTTCCTTCATAGTAATCACTAGGATGCCTTCTAGAAATGAGGGCCACTGTTTCCAGATCTGCCTATTCCGGTAACAGCAGCTGCCTAAGATAAGGGGCTCTTCATAATGCTGAGACAACAGCCTTAACATGGTAGACAGAATATGAAAATTGAAAAAGGAAAAAAAAAGAAGTGAGTGAGGAAATGAATGGTTGTGAAAAATTTCAGGAAGAAAAAAAGTTACCCTTATTTGTTCATCATATTTAATGGAGCGTCCGCTTTCCCAGTCAAACCCAAATCTCATTAGGTGAATTACCAAGACGCTAGGTAAAGATTTAATACAGGTCCTTTTCACTGTTATTCTCTAAAGAAAAAAAAAAGGAAAAAGAGCAAATCTGAATGATCTCCATGGAGAAAATAAAACAGCACAGTAATTAATGCAAAGGCCTTTCTGATCCATGTGAAAACAAGTAATGACACAATCTAATGGAAATAACAGTAGGAGCTTAATACTGATTTTACATAAAACAAAGACGCACTATGCGAATAACAAATTAATCTTGTTTTTTAAAAAGGGCAAACATAATACCTTTTCTTTACACTTTTCACAGTAGTACGCATTACTTCCTTCTAGAACTTCTCCTCTAACAAATTGGTCCAAAGAAATTTCCAAACTCTGACAAGAAGTCACTCCTAGATTGAGAGCCATGAAAGCTTCTTCACGCTCATATCTGATTAGGAAATAACAGAAAACCCACAATCAACAATGGAATTTAAAACTCTTCAATTATCATAATACCTAAGCTTGAACACAGAACTACATTTTTAATCTGGGAGTCCCTCAATATTTTAAAAGTCCATTACTAAGTTAAAATGCCACTTTGTGACAATTAAGAATTGCCTAAAATTATGAATTTCAATGAATATTTTCTTAAGCCCACAAAGAAATTTTTTCTCCTTCTGGAAGTAGAAAGCAAAGAAATTTAAGTCACTAAATACTTATAGATCTGTTGACAGGGAGAGAGTTCTAAGTCTCTTAACAAATGCAAAATTTACAACATACTAAACAAATCACTTCAAAAGGATGATCATTTTTCCTGTGTCGGTGATATCTTCACTCACCTGTGAGGACAGTCTTTACAGATCTTCTGATCAGAGTAGATGCCCTGAAATGTATTCTTAAAAATTTGGTCTCTCCCCATTTTCTGTTGGAATGAAAAGTTACAGTTTTAAGTGATGCCTCCTGAACTTATGAGTATACAGAATTTTATTAACACATTGCAATTTAAGGACCAAAACAAAACGCGTCATTCTGGTAGTATCAGCTGTGGTGAATGGAGGCTAAACCCATTATTGGCCCCACTGTCAGAGTGATGCAGACGATCAGAAGAGGAAGAGGAGGAGGGATGGGTCAGGTAGAGCTAATGACAAGAGAGTGTTCTCCAGGGTGATTCTGAATCCTTCTCCCTGTGCTACAAGGACCAAGTTAGGGGCAACTCTCAGCAATCTTTTCTTTTTTCTTGTGGATAGAATGCCATCAATTTGCAAGTTACTTTAAAAAATGGAAGAATTGTGCCTACTGATGAGAGGCCAATGCTGGCAGTGACAGCGGGATCTGAGAAGGCAATACCGTTTAGGAAGTCTGCCACATGGCTTACAGGGTAGAGGTAGAGAGCTTTGGGTTTCAACAGCACCACGAATAACTTTTTAATCTGGCTCCTTTCTCCCCTGTGCCAGAGCACTCTCTGCTCTGCACAGGGCCATCAGCTCACCAGTGACTGCAGCACTCTTCTGAGGCCAGATTATTTCAGTAGACACACAGAAAGAATATGTAGGTAGGAATGGTTATTACTATGTAGTAGAGATTAAGAGTTACATACTTTACTGAGCGTTAGATGAATTAAGAAAATATGCAATTCTAGGCCAGGCATGGTACCTCAAGCCTGTAATCCCAGCACTTTGGGAGGCTGAGGTGGGTGAATCTCTGGAGGCCAGGAGTTTGAGACCAGCCTGGCCAACATGGCGAAACCCAATCTCTGCCAAAAAGTACAAAAATTAGCCGGGCGTGGTGGTGCACACCTGTGATCCCAGCTACTCGGGAGGCTGAGGTGCAAGAATCTCTTGTACCTGGAAGGTAGAGGTTGCAGTGAGCTGAGATTGTGCCACTGCACTCCACTCTGGGTGACAGAGCGAGACTCTGTCTCAAAAAAAAAGAAAAGAAAAAAAAGAGAAAATATACAATTCTATTGATCTGTGTTATGTTTTGATGTTTAAACACAGAATACATTATAGTTCTTATGTTAAAGATAATCAATTTCTGATTCGTCAGTTTCATAGTAACCCCAAATGCTAAGACACTATTCTCATACTATAATTAGAGTTTGAGGGAGTTAGAGGGAAAGTACAACTTTTACTACCTTGAGGTATTCATCCATCTGATCAATGAGACTAGTAAAGAATTCATATGCATCCTGCTGTTCTCTCACATAAAGTTCTTTATTCCACATCTTGAAAATCTATATAACAAAAATTAAATGTTTTTAAAGGAAAAGTAGCAATTTCTGAATGTGGTAGAAAGGGAACATGAAAGAGCACTTAAATGCTTATAAAAATCAGGTTCACTATTAGGATGTGGACATTTCTAGTGAAGTGAGACTAGCTTGTATTCAGCCATCCACCCTTTTTTCTAGTCCCCTTACAATCATAACAAGTCTCTGAAATCAAAAGTGGGTACTGGGTAAGATCTAGGCCATGGAACAGAGAATTTCTCTCTTAGAAACAAATCAACCTATGGGGAAAAACACAAGGTGATCCTCCAATATGTGAAACACAGTAAAGCAATGTTTAAAAATAGTATTCTTGGCCGGATGTGGTGTCTCACGCCTGTAATCCCAGCACTCTGGGAGGCCGAGGCAGGCGGATCACCTGAGGTCGGGAGTTCAAGACTAGCCTGACCAACACGGAGAAACCCCATCTCTACTGAAAACACAAAATTAGCCGGGCATGGGGGTGCATGCCTGTAATCCCAGCCACTTGGGAGGCTGAGGCAGGATAATCGCTTGAACCCAGGAGGTGGAGGTTGTGGTGAGCCAAGATTGCGCCATTGCACTCCAGCCTGGGCAACAAGAGCGAAACTCCGTCTCAAAAAAAAAAAAAAAGTGTTCTTTATTTAAAGACATTAGTGAAATCGGCACAGGGTCAGGGGAATGATATGAACAAATATTTCAAAGAACTAAAATAAGAATCATTAAAAATATTCAAAATAATTAAGATGAGCAAATTCCTAGGAATTGAATGACTATTCTCAACATTCTAATGATTTGAAACCAAGTACCAATTTCAACAATGGTATACCAAATCCTTTTACAGTTTCTTGGCAAGAGATTAGTCTAAAGTTAATAAAAACAAAAAACCATTACCATTAGAGAAAGAATGTAGCCAAATATTTAACATCTTTAAATCTCAAGAGTTACTGGGTGAAATACCTTCCAAAAATTCTCAGGTACATAGTACTGCAGCTTGCTTTCCATTAAATGTCCAAAGAGAGACTGCACTTGGTAAAACACGCTATCATCTGGATTGTCTGTGTCATCATCCACTGAAAGTAATGACTGCACAGAAAAGAAACATATCAAGCTTGAAATATTTAAAATGCTTCACAGGAAACTCTGACATATGTACATGTTAGTACCCACATTGCTTTTTTAGAATGTTATGTATGTTTGGACATGGCTATAATGCTGCAGATATTTAACTTTAATAATTCCTAGCTGGTGTAATTATGAAAAAATCATGTCCTTAAACTCTGATTATGAAAAACTGGTCTAGTAATACCAGGTTCTCTACAGGAAATAAGCGTAGCCCAGTACACATGGAATACTCTCAAAACCACTGACCATATTATTGTAAAGTGCTCATGGTAGACCCTATATATTTCTAAAATACTAAAACTGTCAGTAACTTTATGGAATATAATTTAAAAACAACTTTGGAGTTCAAAAATCACATTAGGTCAAGTCCATCTGTAATACAGGCAGCTTATTACAACAGCAACTTTATAAAAATGTGTGATTATACACAACATGTCTTTACACATTTCAGGAGCTACTAAAGAATTGCAAGTTATGTCTTGTTTTAGGAAACCCCAAAAGCAATAAAAAACTATGAAACAATTTTCAAGTAACGCACGTATTATCTATCGTACCAAAAAGGATAGAAAAAAGAAATCACCTCAGGGAGCCCAGGTTGCATATACAGCTGCTGGAAGACTGCATTCATATAACAAGTTGCACCACCATTTCTCAGCCCCACAAACCCTGAACTGGACCTGCTATCCACTGGGGGAAGGTACTGGAAAAGAGAGGAATAGAAACAGCAGAGGAGAAGAATGAGCATTTCTGCCACAGACACATTTACACTATAGCTATGCGGGAGATATATTCACAGATTTACCCATCCAGCATGTTATGAAAGCTATGCTGGCAAAACCTATGTTCATGAAGTACCTCTGCAGATGCTGATATAATTATCAAATACTGCTATCTCAATGTTGCTTTTTCAGTCATAAAATACCTGGCAGATAGGTGTGTATTTGTTTATTTATATAATTACTTGATTATCATTCAACAAATATTGATTAAATACCCTTCTATCTGCCAGGCACTGTGCATGGGATATAAGAGAGAACAGAAATGTGCACGGCCCCTGATCTCAAGGCACTTACAGTCTATTAGGGTAAAGAGGCATAATCAAGCAAATGTCCTACTATATATTCATGAATTAAGGTAGTACTCTGAAAAAAAGGAATGTGAGTCTACGAAGTGATTACCATGAAGGATCCTGACCAATCTGGATGGCAAAAAAAGGCTCATATTGTAATTCCTTTTAGAGAAGGTAACATTCTTCTATTAAACTTCTTCCAGTAAACATATAATTAAATAGGTGACTATCCTACCATTTTACTTACAGGTGTTTTGAAATAACATAGACCCCAGTACAGTGCTTTTCTGGGTAGAAATGATCCAGAAAAAGCATAGTGGATAAAGTTCAACATGGCACTTCTTCAAGTGGAAAAGGATACTGTAATTTTACACTTTGAAATGCTATTCAAAGATCTTGGTTCTCATGCCATGACCAGAATCATGCTATCTGCACATATTAAGTATCTGCATCCATGTAATAACCAACTAGCAGACAAAAATGTATAGGTCTTCTAGATCTCAAGGAATTCCTAAGTATTACTTACTCTTCATTAACATCAGACATATACTTACAGCAGGATTATTTCTAAGACCTAATTAACACCGAAATTTATTTGTAGTCCAAAGCATAGATTTAAAAAAAAAAACTGGTTTGTAACAGTGCTAAAAATATAAATATTTATCTAACACAGATATTGCCTCCATTATGCTGATATAATTTTTGATGTAAGGAAAAACATAAGAAGTTCATTTAAATCTGATTAAATAAATGCATCTAAAGTAACACATAACATAACCTATAAACTAAAGCATTATAAACCATTTTGATCAATCAAAACCATTTCCAACTTATGAGAGCCCACATTTCTAAGTCTTTGCCAAGTGCTACTCCCTCTATTTAGGACATCTGTCCCCACTTCCTTTCCTACCTAACCTCTATGTTCTGTAATACTTAACTCAGGCATCCAAAGGGTAAGTCTGACTTTCTGTGATGTCAGAGAACACAAACGGCAGCTTTGAAAGCATCTTCCCATTTCTAGTCTGTATTCCAGTGGACCTGCAATATACTTCCCTCTCGCAGATCCCAACATACACTAAGCTATTTCATGTCTCCACAGCTGTGTTCATATTCTTCTCATTACTGGAATGGAATGACCTTCCCACCTTGCTTCACCTGGTTCACTAGTTTTTATGGCCCTATTTTAAGTTTCAGCTCCTCTAAGAAGCCTTCTGAGATACCAACAGCTGGTGGTGAAGTGCCTCTCTGTGTTAGAGCATTGAGGACATACCTCTATCTCATATTGTATCACATTACATTGAAACTATCTGCTTATGGGCCTGTCTCTTTCACTATACACTGACCTTCTTGAGGGCTGGGATCCTATTTTCATTTTTGACCTCCAAAAGCCTAATATGCCTTTTAGCACATACTAAACTCAATAAATTTTGGTTGAATTTAACTGCACATAGGCTGTACTGTGATAGAGCCAATGTTTATTTGACTTGTATCTCTAGGGTCTGGCCTATGCCCAGCATAAAGTCACTGAAAAAATAGGTTGGAATGCTACTTTTTACTGAGAATAACTACCAAGCAACTTGAAAATGCCTCTCCCTCTTTAATTAAAAGGATACTATTTCATAATATATTCAGTATATTAGAGTGATACTATAGCTTATACTTGATTTGAGTATGTGAACACAGTAAGCAAAATAGTAATACTGACTTTCTTTGTGGTCAGCAGAATGCAAATACAGTCTTAAAATTATATGTTTCAGAGATCATTCTAAAAAAATTAAGTTCATCAACGTCTAGAAAACCTACATCAAACTCCTTGGTAAGAGCAGGGTCAGGCTGGTGATGCATAGAAAGCAGTTCTTTTATAATAATTTGAAGATTTGAAGGTGAACTATCAGCCAACATCACAAGGACTTCATAGGCTGCCAATCGGCTATTCGCTGTACTACACCTAGAAACAAAAGACACAAGTCAATTTCAACAATGAATAATCTACTTAAATTACTCATTAAACTAAATCAACAGTTGAAATGAAAGTAGAAGAGCTCCAATTCCTCAAACATACTTAAGTCAGGTCTAACCCCAGACATCCAGTAATCCAGGGGTCATGAATACAGGAGGAATTAGTAACTATCTTCTTGGCCTGATGATAAAGTAGTAAAATTCTTTCACTTATGATCAGAATAGTCTCATCTAATGAATGGATCAGCAAGAATGGAGGAGAAAGAGTAAAGAGAACTCTGTAATAAAGATGACATGGGAATAACTGTCTTTCAAATAAAATAGGTAAGTAGAAAGATTTTATCGCTGTCATCCTAAGAAGATCTTAGGATGGCAGCAAAAGAAAGCTGTAAAACCCAGAATAGATAGCCATAAACATTTTATGTGGACTTTCTATGAAAAAAATGGAGACAAAAATACAGTTTGTCAAATCAATTCGTTTAAAGTGACACAAAAGATAACTAGCAAGCATTCTGCATGAAATCAAAGGCTTTCTACACTGCCTGCCTGGTAGTATAAACCACTTTGGGGATGGACAATAATATCTCACTTTAACCAATGCTAACCTTGCATTACTGAGGGATCACTGGTTAGGAAGGATACACAGAAAAGAGGATAGCCAACCTCTGAGTGAAACACTTAGGGAATGTAGGAGGAGGCATTTAAGGGGGCTTATGAGGCTTTTAGACCAGCACGACACCAGGCACTGAGGACAATGGCCATGGAGCTGGCACTGTCCTTTGCTTCTTATCTGAACTTCAGGGTTGCAAAGGACAGTAAGAAAAGAATAGGGAGGTGCCATTTACACAGGCTAAACACTAAAAGTTGCTTTATTACTGTGATACAAAATAGCATTACTTCTGAAAAGAGTTTCTGTGTATTTTAAATCTCTTTCTTCCTTGAAGGTTTTGGTGGGAAAAGACTGGGAATTACTGTGATAAATCAACACCATTCAGTACAATGGGGAGGGATGAAACAAATGTTTCCTTTTTTAATCAAGGCACTGTATATGATTTTTACAAAAACACTCCTTCCTTCTTCATTTATGGAGGAACTACTTTTATTAATAATAAAACTGCTAAAGATATATCTTTTGTGTTTACTGAAAATTAAAATATTCACTTGTTTCTGCTGCTTTAATAAAAGACTACCATAGACCTAGCACCAAATCTTCCAAAACAGGGCTGGGGTAGCAATGAGGATGGGAGTCACAGCCTGAGGAATACCCCAAGAGTTCTAATAAAGGGTTTTACTTTTTTTTCTTACCTAAAACAGATTTTGCTAATGAGGCAACTTTAAGTAGAGAAATATTTATATGTGATAAGATACCTCTTAGGATTCCACAAAATACTGCTTATTATGCCTTGTCCATTTCAATAACCACTGAAATTGTACAGGAACCCTTTTCACTATAAACAGCAAATAGTTTCTTCAGGATTACTCAATTAACTCTGGTTTTCATGAGAAAGGAACAAAGTTAGTTAGATTTGGAGCAAATGAAATAGCAGCTTGTAGCTCTGCCTCTTCTTCCTACCTCCAAGAGTATAAATACCACTCAAGGAGGGTCAACATTACAAAGAGATCTTTCAAATTTGTACCCATAAAACTAATACAAAATTTGATTCCAAAATTACTACTGTAATAAATCACAAGCAGTTGCAGTTAACAGAACACAGCCAGCACTCAGCAAACGACAAGGTTCATGCACTAAAGCACCTATCGTTTTCTCCTGAGAAACCTTCAAGATTTTACTCAGAGCCTATTTACTTGTACTTTCGACATAATTTTTATAACCTTCGTTTCTCTTGGCATTTGTTACTGACCAAGTTAGCCACATTTTTATTTGTTCTCCATTCTGAGGATAATAATGGTACCAGCACACTTGCTCCGTGCTTACTATGTGCCAGGCAGGCTTTATGCTAAGCCGCTTCATGTGCATTTCTTCATTTAGTGGATAATATAGGATACACAGACTCACAGATGGAAGACAAACTCCAAGTTAACAAAATCTTTTGGGACTGAAGTTTCAAATTAGAATTTTTACCAAAACTGAACACAACGTGCATTTTCCATACTTTGGATGAAAGTCCTGTTGACTGATGGCGGCACTGCCAGCTGGAGAATGACTATTTAAAATAATTCTAGAAGCTCGGAAAAGGAAGTCATCTAACAATGGTTTAATGAGTGATGAACCTGGAATAGAGCATAATATTCATGTTGAAGATGAACACATATTTTAATTCAAAGATCCTATCTTGCACTTTCTTATCAGAGCAGCAAAGGTACCCAATGCCACCCAATAGCAGAGCATTTAGTTTAATTTAATGTTTGTTTTTGGAGGACTTACTACATGGCAAAGCTTGTGGGGTAGACTACAAAGGGGACAGAATACAAAGACAGGCAGGTGAGGGTGTGTTCCTTTATGGGCTTACAATACAGTGAAAGGAGTCAAGCTTTCACTTTAGAAACAGAAGTGCCAAGGACACCACAAGGCAGAATGGTTTGAGTGAACAGTTCTTACTCTGGGCATAGGGGAGTCCACATAAGGGTTTCTGAAACTTTTAAAATCTTGCCTTTTTAGTTTAAAATGATATGCCTTTCTCTCTCTGGTTAAGAATCACTCTTTTCTATGTATCCCCAGTAGCCAAGAATATTTTGTAAAGCTTGGTTTGTGTTATAAAAGAGAGAGTTAATTTTTCATTTGTCTTCTGAATACAATTTATAATACTGAATAATCTTTTACAAATTACATGTGTACCCTAGGAGAATCTCATATGTACCCCACCACTGGAGGGCAGGGGTGGTTAGGGGCTGCCTCTTCAGATGAGAATCACCCTTAAAAGAAGACAGACAGTAAATTATGTATTACAAAGTACATAACAGCAAAAAGAGAAAAATCTACTTTGAATTATAATTCTTACTTGGTATTAGGAAGTTATGTGATCCAGCTATTTTGAACACCATAAAATTCTCTATGTTGTTTAATGACACAGGTAAAGTACACCTTAAGTTTGTTAGCCACTAAAATAACGGACAATTTCCTACTGTGTGAAGGGTCAATTTTCCATGGAACACTTGGCATCTATCTTATTTTCCCACTTACACACAGTACTGGCAATAACCGAGCACTGAAGAATCTGCCATGTGATAAGATGGAGCAATAATTACCAAGCATTTCCTTTTCTGCCCCACAGAGTGAAAGAAGGGTCTTGATGAGGCGTAAGTGCCCTGCCAGTAAGATGTTGTCCGCTTCACTGGTCTCACATTCAGCTGTACGATTAGGTTCAAAGTTATCCAGCCAAGTAATCTCATCTTCAAGCATCGTAGCTGGGCTGATCCTTAACTGCTCCATTTCTGAAGCTAAGAAGGAAAAAAAAAATCCATTACAAAGAAAGAAGGATTTCCCTTTATGGAGTCAAAGTCCTGAATTAAAGTAAGCAAAGTCAAGCCCCAATCTTTCACTTTACAGATCTTTAAAAAACTATCATTAAGGCCAGGCGAGCTGGCTCACATCTGTAATCCCAGCACTTTGGGAGGCTGAGGTGGGCGGATCATGAGGTCAGGAGTTCGAGACCAGCCTGGCCAGCATGGTGAAACCCCATCTCTACTAAAAATACAAAAATTACACGGGCACGGTGGTGCATGTCTGTAGTCCTAGCTACTCGGGAGGCTGAGGCAGGAGAATTGCTTGAACCCAGGAAGCAGAGGTTGCAGTGAGCTGAGATCACGCCACTGTACTCCAGACTGGGCAAAAGAGCAAGACTCTGTCTCAAAAAAAAAAAAAAAAAAAAAAAAACACACAAAAACCCCACAAAACTGTCATTAACAAATAGTAGGTGACAGCTGCTGCCCACAGGGAATGAAGTCACCCCCATTCATAAACCACTTATTGGTTGCCTCCTCTGTGCAGGTCACTGTGCCATATGCTGAGGCTATAAGATGAGGGAGACAAATTCCTGCTCAGAAGGAGCTCCTGGTTTGGTGGGGGTTAGCAGAAGTCTCAGGAAACAAAATCTTCTAGAGAAAGAAGGGGTAGAAGGGTATAAGGAGAATCAACACTCCTGCAGTGTTACCTGAACCAAGGGAGGGCTGAGTTCTGCAAAGGAGAATGAGGTCAGAAGTACAGCTGCCAGAGTCCAGGTTTCTAAACAATGTGCCAAACTCCTGAGAACTACTCTGTTCTTTTGTATTATGTATCTCACTTGCCCCTTCAAACAAGGACTTAAAGCACAATTTCATATTGGAAGTTGAGACTTGGGAGGGGAGGAAGAGTGATTATGCTCTACTTCCACTGCACTATAGTGAGAAGCAAGCAGGGTCTCCACACGGTGAAGTGAAGAAGGACCCTTTAGGGTCAGTCAGAGCTGGACTGGGACCAGATAGAAACCCTATGTCTACCACTTACTGTATGACCTTGTTTCCTTATTTATGCAATGAGACCAGCACCTACACTGCAGGGTGCTGTGTATGAAGTGCTAGTATAGGCACTGGCTTACGGAATACACTCCAGAATTGGCAAATATTGTTTGTTTCAAGACATGTTATTACCCGAGAATTCCCCTCACCTCCCAAGATCTTAACAAGAGATCCTGGGTCCCTCATTTATCACTCAACAACACAGGGAAGGTCTACATTAATAACTCGTTCACTCATTTCAAAGTTGCATGTGTGTAGCCAACTCATGATTCCTGTCCTTGCTGCAGAGCAGAAAGCAAAGCCTGTATGGCTGCTGGTCAGCTTTCCCTGGGAGCCTGGGTGAAAACCAGTGTTATGTGAGACTGTTAGATGGACATGTAGTCCACCCACTTCGCTAGATCCAACAGATCTTCTCTCTGAATCAAGACACACTCTCACACTGTATTAACTCCCTCTCCACGAGACCAATTCCACTGCATTGCTCAGAGCAATGTGGCCTGTTTTTATTTTTTATTTTTTGGAGACTCTGTCTCGCTCTGTCGCCCAGGCTGGAGTGCAGTGATGCAATCTCTGCTCACTGCAACCTCTGCCTCCTGGGTTCAAGCGATTCTCCTGCTTCGGCCTCCCGAGCAGCTGGGATTACAGGCACGTGCCACCACGCCCGGCTGATTTTGTGTTTTTGGTTTCACCATGTCGGCCAGGCTGGTCTCGAACTCCTGATCTCAAGTGATCCACCCACCTTCGCCTCCCAAAGTGCCAGGATCACAGGCGTAAGCCACTGCGCCTGGCCACCTCCTGTTTTTGACAGACACTTACGAAACTGATGAAAGCATCTGCCACCATAGAAATGTTGTTGAGGATTATTAGTCACTGTCTTTATGTGTCCATTACATGATGGCCTTTGTATGAAATTTCTTTTAGACTTAGGTGCTGGGAAAGAGATTTGCTTCTTTTGAGAAACTATTCTATTTCTTCTTACAGGGTATTTGAACAACTAACCATACGCTGCTTCCTTTTTACCTCTGGCCTTCAGGAACCTCAGAAATTAATTCTGAGGTATTTTTTTTCCTCCTGGTCTTGACGTTCTTTACCAATTGCTATTTTTGTGGATCCTGATTTTTATTTTATTAATTTCCTGTAAGCTGAAGCAAATTCTTTGTGAAGAGCGGAGAATAACAAACTCATGATCTGAACTAAAATTTACACAGAGCATTCCAAAGTACATTTACATTATTTAAGGGTAAGTACAGATGATTAAAATCTCAGCACACTAACAAAAGAATTTCTAACCATGATACTTTACAACTAACACTAATGAACTGACTTCTAACACTATCAACATGCCGCAACAAAGAGTCCCTCTTTCCTTCAACAATCAACCTTTAAAATTATAACAGACTACACCGGAGAGAAAGACCCTTCACAATAGTTTCGTATCAGTGTAATTAAAATATGAGCCTTTGACAATTTAAAAAATCAACAAATGTTCTCAATTCATTAATGACTGGTTATGTAACAGAAGAAGAGCTCACTGGTACACAGGTTTATATGCTATTTTCAAGAAAACAAGGTTCAACTTCAAACAATTGTAATTGTATTTACACCTGAGATATGTAAATCATATTTAGAAATGTCCGTGTGACTTTCTCTTCTACTCTTCCCCAGCCCCTCTCCCCTACATATTAGTCATTTACTTACTTGTCAGATCATCTAATAACTGGCATCTCAAATCAAAATACTCCATACACTGAGATAACAGTCTAAAAAACAGAAAGGTTTCAGTTACTAATAAGAGGCTGATTTGAAAATAAAAAGCATTTTCCTTGTAAGAACAAATTCATAAAACAAGTGAGCAAGATAATTTTGGTAAGCATAACTACTTTTATATTAACTCAAATTCCATATTTTAGCAAGAAGCATACTGATTTTACTAATACAGATATAGTAACAGAAATAACGGTGTAAAGAGAGGGAAACACTAAATCTATCACATCTTAAAATAATATATGCACTGATTGCATACGTAATACACTCATTACATTCATTCATTCATTTACATTTCAACCAGTATCTACTAAGCACCTACAAATGCCTGGAACTGTTTTGGGAGATTAGTGAACTTAAGAAGGGAGACAAACAACAAATTAGAAATATACACATTTGTCAAGTGGTAATATGCACAAAGAAGAAAAACAGAGCAGAGTAAGAAGAGAAAGAGACAGGGAAACTATTTTACAGAGGATGATCAAAGAAGCTTTTTCTGCAATTATAGTAGTGAACAGCACAGGTTTTAGAATCAGACACAAATGGGTTTTAAACCCGGCTCCCCTACTTATAGCAGCTGGATGTCCCATGGACAACTACTTCACTTTTAACTTTTAGTTTTCTAACTTCTAAAATGCTTACTATAGTATTGGAAATAAAAAACATACGCATATACACAAACATATAGAAAAGGTTCAAGCACAAACTAATGAGGAGAATATATAATGAACCAAGAATTATGGTTATAAAAAATGACAATAAAACTGCCAAACTCATTAGGCCAGTCTGAGGATTAAAAGAAAAACATACATAAGCAGTTTAGTATGCTGTGTGGTGGTGTATAGTTGGTCCATGGTAACTGCTATTATTATTACCATACTATTTTTTTTTCCTGGTATTTAGCATGCAACTATCATCATCATACTACTGAGGGAAAATATGTACCAAACTTAGGCATTAAAAAAAGCTGTGAG
This sequence comes from Homo sapiens, assembly GCF_000001405.40. Taxonomy (NCBI): domain Eukaryota; kingdom Metazoa; phylum Chordata; class Mammalia; order Primates; family Hominidae; genus Homo; species Homo sapiens. The sequence continues at coordinate 55,111,225 of NC_000001.11, forward strand.
ACGTAATTTTTTAAATTATGCAAACATATAATTAAAGATTCACTTTGATGTGAAATTAAATAGCTCTACCTTCAACATATTTTTAAGAGATTCTTTAAGAGTATATGTTAAAACTCTCGTCTAATGCTTTCTGCTTCTTTCGTAAAACTTAGAGGAACTTAATATTAAATAAAAAACATGTACTTATATTAAGTGAACTGACTTACAACAAGTATAAGCACAATAGCTTTAACTTCTTAAAAATGGCTTAAACATTTATACTGAAGAATCATTGGTCTTTCAAATAAAAAGTTCATCTGTTTAGAAAAATTTTAACTAGGAAAAGTTGGAATTCTAAAGTAAAAAGTATACAAAGATAAAAGAAGAAATTTCTACAGCTTTTAATTCACATGTTTACTGGGGGAAGCCATTCTCTGAAATATCACTAAAGAATTATTTTTTATTACCATAAATATACAGCTGATGTCTAATTCAGCTTAAATCTTGATGGTAAACTATAACATAATTTTTAAGTTTTGGCTGAATTTTTAACATTTCTAAGTCACTCACAATGACCTCATCTCAGAAACCAAAATCTTGACTTCTTTCTTAGACATCTGGAATGTTAAAACAGAAGGTTAAATGTTTCAAAATAATATTTATGTAGAAGCCGGGATACAGGGGCCAGAAATCTCTGTATATTAGAAAGTGCATGAGAATAGAACAAGTGTTAATACACACAATTAATCCTGTAATAAAGACTTGCAAACAACAGATAAAATTATAACTATATTTGAGAAATTCTGTAGATTATACATATTATATCTAAAACAGAGGTATTAAAAAAAGTCAAGAATGGATCAAAGAAACCAGAGGGAAAATTAGAAAATATATTAAGACAAATGAAAACAAAAATACAACTTGCCAAAAATTATGGGAAATATCAAAAGAAGTGTTATGAGATGGAAATTTATAGCTATAAATGCTTACATTTATTTTGTTAATCTTTTCAAAAAACCAGCTCCTCGATTCACTGATTTTTTGAAGGGTTCTTCGTGTCTCTATCTTCTTCAGTTCTGCTCTGATCTTAGTTATTTTTTGCCTTCTGCTAGCTTTTGAATTTGTTTGCTCTTGCTTCTCTAGTTCTTTTAATTGTGATGTTAGGGTGTCAATTGTAGATCTTTCCTGCTTTCTCCTGTGGGCATTTAGTGCTATAAATTTGCCTCTAAACATTGCTTTAGCTGTGTCCCAGAGATTCTGGTACGTTGTGTCTTTGTTCTCATTGGTTTCAAATAACTTATTTATTTCTGCCTTAATTTCATTATTTACCCAGTAGTCATTCAGGAGCAGGTTGTTCAGTTTCCATGTAGTTGTGCGATTTTGAGTGAATTTCTTAATCCTGAGTTCTAATTTGATTGCACTGCGGTCTGAGAGATTGTTATGACTTCCATTCTTTTGCTGAGGAGTGTTTTACTTCCAATTATGTGGTCAATTTTAGAGTAAGTGCAATGTGGTGTTGAAAAGAATGTATATTCTGTTGATTTGGGGTGGAGAGTTCTGTAGATGTCTATTAGGTCTGCTTGGTCCAGAGCTGAGTTCAAGTCCTGAATATCCTTATTAATTTGCTGTCTCATTGATCTGTCTAATATTGACAGCGGAGTGTTAAAGTCTCCCACTATTATTGTGTGGGAGTCGAAGTCTCTTTGTAGGTCTCTAAGAACTTGCTTTATGAATCTGGGTGCTCCTGTATTTGGTGCATATATATTTAGGATAGTTAGCTCTTTTTGTTGCATTGATATCTTTACCATTGTGTAATGCCCTTCTTTGTCTTTTTTTGACCTTTGTTGGTTTAAAGTCTGTTTATCAGAGACTAGGATTGCAACCCCTGCTTTTTTTTGCTTTCCATTTGCTTGGGAAAAATTCCTAGACGGCTAGCCAGATTAATAAAGAAGAAAAGAGAGAAGAATCAAATAGAATAAAAAATGATAAAGAATACATCACCACTGATCCCACAGAAACAAAAACTACCAACAGAGAATACTATAAACACCTCTACACAAACAAACTAGAAAATCTGTAAGAAATGGATAAATTCCCAGACACACACACCCTCCCAAGACTAAACCAAGAAGAAGTCGAATCCCTGAATAGACCAATAACAAGTTCTGAAATGGAGGCAGTAATTAATAGCCTACCAACCAAAAAAGGCCCAGGACCAGATGGATTCACAGCTGAATTCTACCAGAGGTACAAAGAGGAGCTGGTACCATTCCTTCTGAAACTATTCCAAGCAACAGAAAAAGAGGGACACCTCCCTAACTCATTTTATGAGGACAGCATCTTCCTGATACCAAAACCTGGCAGAGACACAACAAAAAAAGAAAATTTCGGGCCAATATCCCTGATGACATCGATGCGAAAATCCTCAACGAAATATTGGCAAACTGATTCCAGCAGCACATCAAAAAGCTATCCACCACGATCAAGTTGGCTTCATCCCTGGGATGCAAGGCTGGTTCAACATATGCAATAAACTAGGTATTGATGGAACGTATCTCAAAATAATAAGAGCTATTTATGACAAACCCACAGCCAATATCATACTGAATGGGCAAAAGCTGGAAGCATTCCCTTTGAAAATTGGCACAAGACAAGGATGACCTCTCTCATCACTCTTATTTAACATAGTATTGGAAGTTCTGGCCAGGGCAATCAGGCAAGAGAAAGAAATAAAGGGTATTCAGATAGGAAGACAGGAAGTCAAACTGTCTCTGTTTGCAGATGACATGATTGTATATTTAGAAAACCCCATCTTCTCTCAGGCCAAAATCTCCTTAAGCAACTTCAGCAAAGTCTCAGGATACAAAATCAATGTGCAAAATCACAAACATTCCTATACACGAATAATAGACAAATCATGAGTGAACTCCCATTCACAATTACTACAAAGAGAAAAAAATACCTAGGAATACAACTTACAAGGCATGTGGAGGACTTCTTCAAGGAGAACTACAAACCACTGCTCAAGGAAATAAGAGAGGACACAAACAAATGGAAAAACATTCCATGCTCGTGCCCAGGAAGAATCAATGTTGTGAAAATGGCCACGCTGCCCAAAGTAATTTATAGATTCAACGCTATCCCCATCAAGCTACCACTGACTTTCTTCACAGAATTAGAGAAAACTACTTTAAATTTCATATGGAACCAAAACAGAACCTGTATAGCCAAGACAATCCTAAGCAAAAAGAACAAAGCTGGAGGCATCATGCTACCTGACTTCAAACTATACTACAAGGCTACAGTACCAAAACAGCATGGTACTGTACCAAAACAGATATACAGACCAATGGAACAGAACAGAAGCCTCAGAAATAATGCCACACATCTACTACAACTATCTGATCTTTGACACACCTGACAAAAACAAGCAATGGGGAAAGGATTCCCTATTTAATAAATGTTTTTGGGAAAACTGTCTAGCTATATGCTGAAAACTGAAACTGGACCCCTTCCTTACACTTTATACAAAAATTAACTCAAGATGGATTAAAGACTTAAACGTAAGACCTAAAACCATAAAAACCCTACAAGAAAACCTAGGCGATATCATTCAGGACATAGGCATGGGCAAGGACTTCATGACTAAAACACCAAAAGCAATGGCAATTATATCCCGAAATTGACAAATGGGATATAATTAAATGAAAGAGCTTCTGCACAGCAAAAGAAACTATCATCAGAGTGAACAGGCAACCTATAGAATGGGAGAAAATTTTTGCAATCTATCCATCTGACAAAGGGCTAATATCCAGATTCTAAAAAGAACTTAAACAAACTTACAAGAAAAAAACAACTCCATCGAAAAATGGGCAAAGGATATGAACAGACTTCTCAAAAGAAGACATTTATGTGGTCAAGAAACATGAAAAAAAGCTCATGATCACTGCAGAGAAATGCAAATCAAAACCGCAATGAGATACCATCTTACATGGTATCTTACATAGAATGGCGATCATTAAAAAGGAAACAAGGCCGGGCGCGGTGGCTCACGCCTGTAATCCCAGCACTTTGGGAGGCCGAGGCGGGCGAATCACGAGGTCTAAAACGGTGAAACCCCGTCTCTACTAAAAATACAAAAAATTAGCCGGGCGTAGTGGCGGGCGCCTGTAGTCCCAGCTACCTGGGAGGCTGAGGCAGGAGAATGGCATGAACCTGGGAGGCGGAGCTTGCAGTGAGCCGAGATCCCGCCACTGCACTCCAGCCTGGGCGACAGAGCGAGACTCCGCCTCAAAAAAAAAAAAAAAAAAAAAGGAAACAACAGATGCTGGAGAGGATATGGTGAAACACTTTTACACTGTTGGTGGGAGTGTAAATTAGTTCAATCATTGTGGAGACAGTGTGGCAATTCCTTAAGGATCTAGAACCAGAAATACCATTTGACCCAGCAATCCCATCACTGGATATATACCCAAAGGATTGTAAATCATTCTACTATAAAGACACATGCATGGGTATGTTTATTGTGGCACTGTTCACAATAGCAAAGACTTGGAACCAACCCAAATGCCCATCAATGATAGACTGGATAAAGAAAATGTAGCACATATACACCATGGAATACTATGTGGCCATAGAAAAGGATGAGTTCATACCCTTTGCAGGGACACAGATGAAGCTGGAAATCATCATTCTCAGCAAACTAACACAAGAACAGAAAACCAAGCACTGCATGTTCTCACTCATAAGTGGGAGTTGAATAATGAGAACACATGGACACAGGGAGGGGAACACCACACACCAGAACCTGTCGGGGGGTGGGCAGGCTAGGGGAGGGATAGCATTAAGAGAAATACCTAATGTAGATGACGGGTTGATGGATGCAGCAAACCACTATGGCACGTGTATACCTATGTAACAAACCTGCACGTTCTGCACGTGTATCCCAGAACTTAAAGTATAATTAAAAATAAATAAATAAATGCTTACATTAAAAACAAGAAAAGGATTCAATTGACAACCTAACTTTACACCTAAGGAACTAGAAAAAGAAGAACAAACCAAACTTAAAGGTAGTAAAAGGAAAGAAATAACAAAGATTAGAGTGGAAATAAATAAAATAAAGAATGGCAAAACAATACCAAAAAGAAAAAAAAAAATCAATGAAACCAAAAGTTGCCTCTTTGAATGAAAAGATGAACAAAACCAACAAACCTTTAGGTAGACTAACACAAAAAAGGGAGAAGGATCAAATTACTAAACTCAGAAATGAAAGTGGGTACATAACTACCAATTTTACAGAAATGGAAAGGATATAAGAGAGTACCGTAAGCAACTATATGCCAACAAATTAACCTAGATGAAGTAGACAAATTCCTAGCAACACAAAACCTACCACGATTGAATCAGGAAGAAACAGAAAAGGTAAATAAATCTATTTAGCAAAGAGATTCAGCAAAGAGACTGAATTGGTAATCCAAAAAAAAAAAAAGAAAAGAAAAGAAAAACAAACTCCCAACAAAGAAAAGCCCTGGACCAGATGGCTTCACTGGTGAATTCTACCAATATTTAAAGAATTACCACCAAGTCTTCTCAAGCTCTTTCAAAAAACTGAAGAGGAGGTAATACTTCCTGACTTATTCTATGACACCAGTATTACCCTGATACAAAAGCCAGAAAAAGACACCACAAGAAAACTACAGACCAATATCCCTTATGAATGCTAATGCAAAAATCTTCAACAAAATACTATCAAACCAAAGGAGTGCATTTAAAGGATTACACCCCATGAACAAGTGGGATTGACTCCTGGAATTCAAGTATGGTCCATGGTACGAAAATCTATGTAATCTCATATTAAGGGAAAGAAAGAAAAAGACCCACATGATTATCTCAATCAAAGCAGAAAAAGCATTTGATAAAATTTAACTCACTTTCATGATAAAAACACTTAACAAACTACAAATAGAAGGAAACTACCTCAACATAATAAAGCCAGATATGAAAAACTCACAGCTAACATACTCAATGCTGAATGACTGAAAGCTTTTATCCTAAGAGCAGAAACAAGGATGCCCACTTTTACCACTTCTATTCAACGTAGTATTGAAGGTTTCAGCCAGAGCAATTAGGCAAGAAAAAGAACTAAAAGACATCCAAATTGAAAAGGGAGTAAAATTATCTGTTAACAGATGACATGTTACTATATATGGAAAGCCCTAAAGTTTCTGCAAAAGAAACTGTGGCCGGGCGCGGTGGCTCACGCCTGTAATCCCAGCACTTTGGGAGGCCGAGGCGGGTGGATCATGAGGTCAGGAGATCGAGACCATCCTGGCTAACAAGGTGAAACCCCGTCTCTACTAAAAATACAAAAAATTAGCCGGGCGCGGTGGCGGGCGCCTGTAGTCCCAGCTACTCGGGAGGCTGAGGCAGGAGAATGGCGTGAACCCGGGAAGCCGGGAAGCGGAGCTTGCAGTGAGCCGAGATTGCGCCACTGCAGTCCGCAGTCCGGCCTGGGCGACAGAGCGAGACTCCGTCTCAAAAAAAAAAAAAAAAAAAAAAAAGAAACTGTTAGAACTAATAAATAAATTCAGCAAAGTTGCAGCATACAGAATCAACACAAAAATCAGTTGTGTTTCTTACACTAACAATGATCAAACTGAAAAAGAAATCAACAATTCCACTTACAATAGCATCAAAAATAATAAAATACTTAGGAACCAACTTAAGGAAACAAAAGACTTGTACAGTGAAATCTACAAACATTGCTGAAAGAAATTAAAGATGACATAATAAAAAGACATCTTGTGTTCAAGGATTGAAAGACAAAATCTTGTTAAGATGTCATTACTATTCAAAGTCACCTACAGGTTCAATGAAATCTCTATGAAAATCCCAAAGACATTTGCAAAAATAGAAAAACCCATTCTAAAATTCACATGGACTCTCCAAGTAGCCAAATCAATCCTGAAAAAGAGGAATAAGGCTGAAAGACTCATACTTCCTGATTTTAAGCTTAGTACAATACTACAGTAATCAAAACAGTCTTATACTGGTAAAAAGACAGACATACAGACCAATGCAATAGAAATATAGAACTCAAAAATATGGTCCTGATTTTCATCAAGGGCACCAAAACCATTCAATGGGGAAAGGATAGTATTTTTAAAAAGGGGCACTGGGAAAACTGGATATTCACATGGAGAAAAACGAAGTCAGACCCTTACCTTACACCATAATGCAAAACTAAACTCAAAATGGATGAAACACCTAAATGTAAGAACTAAAACTATAAAACCTTTAGAAGAAAACAGGGAAAACTTTGTGACACAGGATTTGGCCATAATTTCCTGGCTATGACAGCAAAAAACACAGGTAACTAAAGAGAAAATACATACACAGGACACCATCAAGAGAGCTAAAAGACAACCCACAGATTGGGAGAAAATATCTGCATATCATATCATCTGATAAGGGATCAATATTCAGGATATATAAAGAATTCCACAACAAATAATCCAATTTAAAAATGAGCAAAGGTCTTAAAATAGATGTTTCTCCAAAGAAGATATACGAATGGCCAACATGCACATGATGAGACGCTCAACATCAGTCATCAAGGAAATGCAAACTGAAACCACAGATGCCAATTCACATGCACTGGGATAGCTACTATCAAAAACAAAACGAAACAAAAACAAAAATCCTAGAAAACAACAAGCGTTGGCTAAGATGTGGAGAAATGAGAATCCTTGTACATTGCTGGTGGGGAAGTAAAATGGTACAGCCATTGTGGAAAACAGTATGGTGGTTCCACAAAGAAATCAAACACAGAATTACTAAATGATCTAGCAATTCCACTTCTGGGTATACACCCTAAAGAACTGAAAACAGGGATTCACACAGATATTTGCATACCCATGTTTGTAGCTGCATTCACAACGGCCAAAAGGTGGAAACACCCAAATGTTCATCTATGGATGAATGGATATACAAATATGGTTTATACATACAATGATATATAATTCAGCCCTAAAAAGGAAGGAAATTCTGATTCATGCTACAACATGAATAAACCTTAAGGACATTATGCTAAGTGAAATAAGCCAGACATATAAGGACAAATACTGTATGATTCCACTTATATGAGGTACCTAGAGTCGTCAAATCCTTAGAGACAGAAAGTAGAATGGTGGTTGCCGTGGGATGGGGGAGGGGGAACAGGGAGTTATTGTTCAATGAGTAGAGTTTCAGTTTAGGATGGCAAAAGAGTTTTGGAAATAGACAGTTGTGATGGTTGCATCACAATGTGTGCATACTTAATGTCGCGGAATTGTATACCTCATGGTAAATTTTATGTTATGTATATTTACCACAATAAAAAAAATTTGGCAATTCAAAAAAAATCTACGTGTCTTTGAACAGTCTGTTTACATTCATTGCCCCTTTTTAACTTGGCTGTTGGTCTTTTGCTTAATAATTTATAATAGTTATATATATAGATATATATATCTCAAATTAGCTTATTGTCTGTCATGTATGTTGCAGATTTTATTTTCCCAGTTTGGTGATTGACTTTTGACTTTGAGGCATTTTTTCCTATATAGAAAATTTTAATTTTTATGGAGTCAAATTTATCAGTCTTTTATTTAATGACTTCTTCATGGGCATAGTGTTTCAGTTTAGGATGATGCAAAAGTTTTGGAGAGGGACCTAATTTATAAAGCACATAAACAAGGAAAGGAAACATTGACTTCACAAATCTCCATGACACTTTATAAGCCCCACAGTAGGGGCTGTGTGGTGAAGGTGAGTTAGAAAAAGTCATATGAACTTGAGGTCAATGTGAGACCCCTACCTCCTATCCTGGGACTAGACTGAGGAGCACATGCATGCAGGCTCACTTGTTGAGGTAAGATGGGGCAGGCAGAATAGTCATCTCATGAGTTTGGACTACAAGCTCTCTTACATACTGAAGCATGTATAAAACCAAGAAGGCAAGCTAGGAGGATACCTTGGCTACCTCTAGACACGGAGCTACAAGATATCTGCACTGAAAAAGTGATGCACAAGGGGAGAGGATCAGTATAACCTTTACACAGTGACCGGGCTCCAATAATTCCAGGCTCTCACCAATCAGGTGAGCTCCTTTTTCTCTCTGGGGTAGATGAATCACATGGGGTGAAGTGAGAACTGAGGACATGGAGAAGAAGGCCTGGTAGTGTTTCTTCTAACTCTCCTATCCAAATGCCATCTTTCAGGACCCAAATTTCAGAAGAAGAAAGAAATTCTAGTCATCTCAATAATGCACTGTGGACTTCAGGGGAGCAGCACACAAATTATCATTTATCCTCTCTCTGTATAAGGTTAGCTTTTCCATTTTTATTACCTACCTCTGATTGACTCCTCTCATAATACTAGTTGGAGACCAGAGAGGCAGCTGAGCCGTGAGGATTACGCCTAGAAGAAACTGATTTGGCTTCTGCACATCTGGATGCGCTGATGTGTCTGTCTGACTAAGAGTGTACAGCTGATCACAGGCAACCCGGCGAATCTGAAATTACATGATCAGCAGCAAAGGACAGACATGAATCAACATGTTGAGACTGCTTAAAAAGTGATTTTCTTCCAAAGTCCAGCCTATTTAGTCAATCAAGTTATTGAAGGATACTAGAAAGGTATGAGTGTTTCAGATTTTAATGGTAAGGTTTTAATGGCTAATTAAAACCCACTGCGGTTTGGGAACTGATTTCCCAAATTATTCTACTATTCTACTCTACTCAATAGGTTTATAACTTAATGTAAATGAAAATAAGAAAAAAGAAAGTTTAAGTTAATCCTCAAGGTCATGTAAGAATGTCAGAACTATAATATCTAATGAAAGTTTATGGGTTGAGGTTGATCTTTCCTGATTCTGACCAACAACGTGGATGCTTAGTGCCAGCTGCCCTTGTGAGCTATGGATATCAGACACTGGTTGTAACGTTGTTATAAACAAAAATAACTTACTAACATTAGTCTCATAACTTTTGGTGGCATATGGAGGAGGTAGTAGAAGGAAAGGCAGTAGAGTCCAAATGGTTACTTTTCTTTCATGGTCTGCAGCCCCTTCGTACACTCCCTGAGAGCACTCAATGCCACTCCTGTATTCCCGACAATGTCACAGGTAGTTGAGACAGCTCACAAAACAACAGGACCAAAGGAGTTTTGTAAGTAATGTGAAAAATCCTTACCTCAGCACTTGGTGATCCGAGCAGAATATCAATGATGAAATCAGCAACACAGGGCAAGTTATAGAAAGATGCTAATAAGAAGAAATGGGGGATGTGGGTGTGTGAAACAAGTTAGGTAATGCATTTTCAAATTTTGATTAATTTCTTAAGCTCAACTTAAGCATAAGCTCTTCTCTTTTACATACAATAATTCAGGACCTTTTACAATTGCTTTCATGCCTGTCCATTTACCCCATAAAATTCTAAGTTGTTCAAGAGAAGAAACCATGTCTTATTTTTGTGCTCTATATTTTATCACAATGCCTTGCACATACCAGTTACAGAATAAATGTCTTGCCTTGATAAACTATCAATAGTTGCAAACTATAAAATATACCTTAAAATAAACTTACAAATGATAACAGATAAAAGCTTGGAGGGAAGTTATCATTTTTTCATCTTGATTTGAAAATATCTCTAAGTTAAACAATTCTAGGAAAATTAAACGAAATCAAACAGCTAAGGGTAGGATTAGTACACTTTTTAAAAGTGGAGTTGCTAAAACTTCATTTCTGAATATTTATTTATTGAGAATCTACTACACATCAGACAGTGTTTGGGGGCTGGAGATTCATCAGGGAACAAAATGAATAAAAGTCTCTGTCCTCATGGAGCTTTCAATCTAGTTGGGGAGGAGATAATGACAATAAACACAATAAATAAGTAGATTATTTTGCAAGTTATAAAATGATAAATGTTACAGGAAAAAAATAAGGTAAGGAGTCTGGGCAGTGCAGGGGCAAGAAGAGCACTGTAATTTTTTTATAGGTGGTTGGGGAATGTTTCAGTAAGCATACTGGAAAGAGGGAACAAACAGCCAGTGCAAGGGAAGGAATGTATGCTGGCTGCTGGGGGAACAGCAAGGAGCCCAGGGTGGCCGAAGCACAGTGAGTAAAGGGAAGAGTAGAAGCAAAGGCACAGGAGTATCAAGTGGTACACAGTGTCCACCCCCTTGTAAAGATTTGGCTTTTGCTTGGTGAACTGAGAAGCCACCGGAAGGCTTTCAAAGAGGAGTGATGTATTCTGACTTAAAATTTAGAAGGTCCACCCTGGTTGCTGAGTAGAGAATAAACTGCAAGGCAGAAGCAAGAAGATGAGTTAGGGCACTCTTGCTATAGTCCAAGTAGGAAGCAATGGCAGCTTGGAGGGACCAACAGTGAAAGGGGTGTTAAGGGGTAGAATCTAGAGAGGGCTTGAAGGGGGATATGCTGACAGATTAGAAGTAGGGGGTGAAAAAAAGATATCAAAGATGAAGCCAAGGTTTTTGGCCAGAGCAACCGGAAGAATAGAACTGCTTTTAAGTTGAGAAAACTCTAGGATGATATGGGCAGGATTAGAGGAGCTCAGTTCTGGAAATGAGAAGTTTGGGATGTCTATTTGATATCCAACTGGAGACATCAGGACAGTGGTACAGGCCATAGACCCAAATTTAGGTGTTGTCAACATATAGATGGAATTTAAAACTGTGAAACTGCACGAGATCACCAAGGGAATGAATGGAGATAGAGAAGAGATGATAGGACCTGAGCCCTGGGGTGCTCTCATGTTAGAGAATGATTAGTAATGGTCCCCGTTCACCAAAGCCAACAATAAAGATGAAAGAGCAAATCTTAAGTTACACAATTTTTAATACTAGAGTCATTATCAGGAATTGATATACAATTCTAATTCTGTAATTTATGAACTAGTAAATTTGGGCTCTTTGAATTCCTCAACTAGACAGCAAGCTCGTGGTGTGCAGACATACTGCTCTGGTGACAGCAACTGCGGAACCTCATATACAGAAGGTGCTCAATAAATATTTCTTCAGAATGAGCTATTTTAGCATTATTCTTAGCTACGCCACATGCCAACTTCCCGCCTTTTTCATTTTGACCAATGGGACCTTATCTAGGAAGAAATGTAAAGAATTCCCAACAGAAACTTGGCCTTTCCCTGAAAGAGATTAATCACAAACAAGCCTCCAGCATACCCAGTTGCTGGCTCCGAAGCTGTAGGCACGTAACAAGAAGAGACAAAGCCTCTCCCGCAATCAGCGAGTCTTTGGTGGATACAGACTGTTGTCGAACACAGATTCCCGCATGCAGGGCTACTGGTTCTCCTTCACTTCCAGAGCTGCAATTGCTTCCTGAAAACAGGTAAGCAGAAATTTACTGTGGATCCTACAGGAACTATGCAATATTTTAATCTTTTTACTATATGTTCCAGAATCCTCATGTGACATTAAATACTTCAAGAAAGCACTTAGGTCCAAGAAGCAAGAGAGATTTAATACTGTATTTGAAACACTCTCACTACTTTTTCTTTAAAACACATTTGCAGGCAATCAAAATGTGTTCACAAGGCAAAACTAATTTCAGGCGATAGAAGTGAAAATAGCGCAATTTTGTGGGCATGAGGGAGCCCTCCAGAGGATATCGGAAATGTTTTCTACCTTGTAACTTGATGTAGATGGGTCATATGCATACAAAAATCCTAAAAATCTCATACACTTTACTGTCTGCACTTTACTGTATATATGTCAAAATTTTAAAAACTTCCTTTATTATTGAGGTATTTCTAAAATAGAGATTGAGCAGGAAGACCAAATAAAGCTGGGAAATAAAGCTATATTTTAAAGAGGCCTAATGAAAAATAACCTGGCAAACCAAGAAAAGAACTGTTTTCCAGGACTGAATTCTAAATGAATTTGTATTATTGCCACAATGATTGGTTTCATGACACTTTTATACTCAGCTAAGCTAAAAACTGTTGATTTGGTTTCTTCACTTACTCTATGTGTTTATAAATATTTTTCTTCTTAAGTGAAATATGACATACATATAGGAACATACATAAATACTAAGTGTATACAGAGCTTGATGAATTTTTACTCATGCTCACAAGCAAGAGAAGAGGGTCTCCCATTTTTGTGACTCTGGCAAACCTACACACAGAATTCTTATGGTTATTTCTTACCCAGTGTTCTCATTACTGTCTCTTTTTAATCAGTACCTGAACTGCTGAGTCTGTTTCGAATTCCAGCAGGACACAGGGAATTACTTTCTTTAATTGGCTGGCTACTCCCAACAAGATCAAGCCGTCCTGCAGCCGCAGCCCATGACAATCTCATGAAGCAAGCCACAGTAGAAGTGAAATCACTTACTTCCATTGTCTAAAGAATGGAACAAGTATTATGAGAAAGAGCAATACTTGAACACATGCCCTGACATGTACAACCTTCTTACAGGTCTCAGTTTCATACGCCTCCTTTCCCTCCAAGGTCATCCAGAAAGATGGCCTTTCTCAAGCTGCCATCCTGCTCAAGGGCTTTCAATCTCTCTTTTTTATCTGTAAAACAGATTGATCTTCATGCTGTGGCTTCAAAATACGCTTTACCAATTTTTTCACTTTCCCCCTTTCCCACATACTATGACCTCATGACCTCCCATAAGCTCTGGTATTGTCTCTAGTTTGCACATGTGCTCCCTTTTGCTTGAACAAGTCTCCTTTCTCCAACTTTCTAAGTACTTATCTCTGTATATCTAATCCTCATCTGTTCTTCAAGGCCTAGCTCAAATGCCATCTATAACATAAAATCACCCATCACAGCCACAGGTGAAGGAAATTATTCTGCCTCCTTTGAAGACACACAGAATGCTTTGTCTTGTAGTTTTACAACACTTGATACTTTCTACCTGGAATTATAGTTATTTCTACCCTAGCGATCTCTTTTTAAGTCACCATAAATTTCTTGAAGGCAATATTCATGTCTTAATCATTTTTATATCCCCATAGCACCTCTTCCTAAACAGGACATTCTGAATAAGAGGGACTAAAATGTCTTGAATACACAAATCACTTACTTGTATTGCAACTCGAGCAGCAGGGATGATTTCCTCAACCCTAATAGAAGACCTATCAGACACGGACAACTGTCGGTAGGATGACTTTTCTGGGGTACCACATAAGGACATCTGTCTGCTTGTCTGCCGGCTGACATTTCGGAATGGGCGGGAAGAAAGTGCTTCTATACCATCTTTGGTGAGGTCTTCATCTAATAACGTGGGCATTGTTTGTCCGACAAGTAAAAATCTTAAAAAGAAACAGCTAGACTTATTCTGAGTCCATTCATACTATTTAAAAACATGATTTGCGAAGAAAAAGTCAAGTATTGCCTGGTAAGACTAATGCAATATATTTACATACCTTGCAAGCTGTAGACAGATGGAATAAACACCCTGCCTTGTTTCATAGTCTACTTCTGATGGGATGGAGTCTCTCTGCATGACATTTACAACCAAACTTCAAAAAGAAGAAAAAAAGGCAGGATATTAAAGACTTCTATTTTTTTTCATTTTAAATTTTCCATAAGTAATGTAATCAGTCATCATCAATTACTTAGTTTCTACATGATTCTGTCATAAAAAGAGCCTACATATATCTATCATAATAATTTCCTATGATACCTATAAGCTTCCTAACTATTCTCCCTGCTTCTGCTCTTGACTCTCCACCTTCCAAACCTATTTTCAAAAGACCCATCAGGGTGATCCTTAGAAAATTTAACTCAGATCATGGCACTCCTCTGCACAAAATCCTTCAATGGTTTCCTATTTCCTATGCTGAAAAACAGCAGAGTCTTCACAGTAGCCTGTAAGACCCTTCATAACTTGACCTCTGGTATCTCTGCAATGTCATGTCCCAGACCTCTGTCTCATTTGAGAATGGGAAACACTGCCTCATTCACGGTGCCCCAACCACACTGGCCTCCTGTGGCCTCTGCCGGCACCAGGCAGGTCCCCACGCATGGGTGTGCGCTGGCTGCTCCTCTGAAAAGCTTTCTCCTGGGTCTCGCTCCCTTATCTCCTTCAGGTCTTTGCTAGATGTCACCCCAGCGAAGCTTTTCCTGATCACCCTACTGAAAATCATAGCCCCCGAATCCCTGCTTCCTTCTTTATTTTTCTCTACAGCTCTCCTCACCATCTGACACATACTTTTACTTATGTTAATTGTCTCCCCCTCTAGACTGTAAGCTTCATGAGGATGTGGATTTTGGTCTAATCTACTCACTGCTCTGTTCTCATTGCTTAAGAACAATATCTGGTACATGAATTAAATGACATACACAAATAAGCCAAATGTTCAATGTCTTTATTTTGACAGCCCTGTAAATGGCTGAGTGATGTGAAAGGAGTTTGTACTAAAAACACCTCTACAGTGTGGAACACAGAATAAAGCTACACATGTGTGCCACACCTTCTACGGTACTTGGGAATCCTTTTTGCCATCATTTCCCTATTTCCCATCCCCTCGACCTCCTCAAGGTCCCTACCCAGCTTCTCTGTGCCAGACCTCCCCTCAGGAATTCCTTCAACCATCCTCTGCTCATGCTTTGAGCTGGTGTCCATGCCTACCTCACCCAGAGGAAATGGTATGCCTACTTCTTTCTAGAGAAAAGCTGCTTCCAACTGCAGTACAAGTTGACCCCATCATTTACCCATTTTTCTTTTATCTTTATTCTTTTCTCCTTCATTGGTCCCTTTTAGTTAACCTATGAAGAGTCTTCCACAAGCTAAAATCAAAACAGAAAAGCCAACTTCCCCCTCAGTTTTTTTTCTAAATTATTATACTTTAAGTTTTAGGGTATATGTGCACAATGTGCAGGTTAGTTACATATGTATATATGTGCCATGCTGGTGTGCTGCACCCATTAACTCATCATTTAGCATTAGGTATATCTCCTAATGCTATCCCTCCCCACTCCCCCAACCCCACAACAGTCCCCAGAGTGTGATGTTCCCCTTCCTGTGTCCATGTGTTCTCATTGTTCAATTCCCACCTATGGGTGAGAACATGCGGTGTTTGGTTTTTTGTCCTTGCAATAGTTTACTGAGAATGATGATTTCCAATTTCATCCATGTCCCTACAAAGGACATGAACTCATCCTTTTTTATGGCTGCAGAGTATTCCATGGTGTATATGTGCCACATTTTCTTAATCCAGTCTATCATTGTTGGACATTTGGATTGGTTCCAAGTCTTTGCTATTGTGAATAGTGCCGCAATAAACATACGTGTGCATGTGTCTTTATAGCAGCATGATTTATAGTCCTTTGGGTATATACCCAGTAAAGGGATGGCTGGGTCAAATGGTATTTCTAGTTCTAGATCCCTGAGGAATCGTCACACTGATTTCCACAGTGGTTGAACTAGTTTACAGTCCCACCAACAGTGTAAAAGTGTTCCTATTTCTCCACATCCTCTCCAGCACCTGTTGTTTCCTGACTTTTTAATAATTGCCATTCTAACTGGTGTTAGATGGTATCTCATTGTGGTTTTGATTTGCATTTCTCTGATGACCACCCTCAGTTATTTCTGTCTTCAATTTACTATCACCCCTTTTTTCTTACTCATCTGAAAGGAGAGATCTCTATGCCCTGACGCTACCTTCCTGCCTTACACTTGCCACTCAGCTCTGACAGCTGGATTATGTCCTCATGGTTTTACTCACACGCTCCCAAATCTCTCATGCCATTCTCCACTTTTCTAACAAGCACCCTATCCAATCCATACCATCTACTTCACATGACTCAGAAGGACCTTGTATACAAACAAACTTATTTCTCTTGCTTTCCTTTGTTCGTTCCATCTCTCTGTGTTTATTTCTCATACTGACTAATGACTCACCATTTCCCCACTCTACCAAGCTAGAAACCACAGGGCCATTTTATAAATGTCCCCACCCTCTACCTAGTCATAAATGTCATTCTGTCACTGCCCTTCATCTCCTCTCTGGATACTGTCAGCTCTCAGTCTACCCTTCCTCCAGTCTCTCCCACTTCCCTTCATCCTCTTCACTGCTGCCAGAGTAATTGTTTCAGGTAATTCTCGGCTTAGTAACTGCCTGTTTTTTCATGGACTACAAGACAACACTCGTATTCCCCAATGAGACCCTTCTTGACATGTTTCTCTCCTTCATCCTTTGCTTGAACACCAGGCAACTGAGGTTCCCAAGACAGGCGATGCGTCTTCATGCTCTCACTCACCCTTCCTTCCATTCCAGCTTGGAGTGCCCCTTCCCTCCTTATTTACCTAGAGGATTTCTAGGTAAATAATTTCCCAATTCCTAGCTCAACAGTCATTTTCTGTGAATAATTTCCTAACCTTATGACCCTAAGCAAATTCAACCAATGTAACCACTACTTTCTCACCCCTCCTCCTCACAAGTACTTTTTATATATGCCTCTGCTTTAATACCTTTTTTTTTTTTTTTTTTTTGAGACAGGATCTTGTTCCGTTGCCAGGGTGGAGTGCACTGGTGCTATTACTGCTCACTGCAACTTCCACCTCCCGGGCTCAAGTGATCCTCCCACCTCAGTGTCCCAAGTAGTTAGGACTACAAGTGCATGTCATCACACTCAACTATTTTTTTATTTTTATTTTTAGTAGACATGAGGTCTCACTATGTCGCCCCGTACGATCTCAAACTCTTGGGCTCAAGCAATCCTCCTGCCTCAGCCCCTGAAAGTGTTGGGATTACAGGCATGAACCACCATGCCTGCCCTGTTTTAATACTTATAATATAGTTACCTAGCTGTTTGTTATTCTTTGTTAAACCATCAGCTGCCTCTCAAAGGCAGAGATAATATCTAATTTATCTTTGCATCCCCAGCACTAATACCTTGCACAATATGGATTTACAGCGATAAAATTCACCTTATTTCAAACTGACATGAGACACAAAAGAAACAGATACAGCCTCCTGGCTTCTACTCTTCTTGAAAATTTCCCCCACTACCAGAGGGGAAAGAGACATGCTTCCATACGTTTTTCAAATAATCAGAAGTTATAAAATGATTTAAAATATTTTAAAGGACTGAAACATCATTCCTTCTTATAATAACTCTCACAATGAGTCATATGATACCTTGTAGGAATAAGCAAGACTTTGCAGGGGAAATTAACTAAAATAACTATATTCATTTTCGGCAACTCATGTAACATTACATTGAAACTCTAACCTCAAACCGCCAGCTTTGAGGAAGTTTTCACAGAAGGATTTGGCACAGCTTCTGGCCATGTCATCATCAGCTGTTGGCATGAGTTTGGAGCTTAGAACCTAGGGAACAGATAAGCACAATTATTCATCCACACATTTTCAGCAGAAATTACTCCTTTACTAAATAAAACATTCAGACAACTTGAGTTAGAATCTCTTTAAATGTTGCACACTGTTTTTCCCCCAGAAATATGTAGAAGCTGATGTTTCACGATAAAATAATCACATTTTCCCTATTCTATTTACTTTGGAAGAAAAATCTTTCCGTTCTAGAGAAAGCTGGTGTGTTCTTTTCATGAAACTGGCAAACATGAAAGTCTCAGACCCTCAGGCTTAGATAAGAACAGATAATTTCATGTGATATGCTAGATATATTCTTTAGAAAGATATACACCAAAGTTTTATAAAACAGCCCATATATTAAAAATGCAAGATGAGTTTCCCAACAATAACTCTAACTCCTATTTATTGAACATCTACAATGTATCAGGCATATGTATTTTACTTTATAGGTGAGGGAACTGAGACCTGAAAGGTTAAGTAGGTTAAGTGACTGCCCACCCAAGGTCACGTGGTTAGAATTCAAATCCAGATGTGTCTCATTCTAACACTCATGCCCTTCTATGACACCGCAATGCCTACACCTAAAGTGGAGTTCAACTGAATACTTTGGTTGGGCAGAATTTCACATAAATAACCATACTATAGCCAAGACTACAAATCTAGTTCACATTCTAGTTTTACCTAGCTGAGAGACCTTAGGCATACAATGCTCCCTTTTGTCCTAGTTTTCTCATCACTAAGTGAACATAGTAGTTGCCTTTACAGGAAGATTGAAGGATTAAATACTACAGCACAAGCTTTAAGGTGCTTAGTATAAGCATCAGCACAAAACAAGTACTCAGTAAACAACTGCTTATTAAGTTATGATTTAAAAATAAAGACTCTCATTGCCTCAGTCTTAAACTAGATGTAGTTCAAGATCATTTTCTAGTCTTAAAAAATCTGCTTCTATGAACCCATGAGTTTTATGAGTTTAGAACTTAATGTGGGATTTTGTTAAAGATGCCTTCTTCCTAGGTTGCTCTGGAGAAACAGGTCCACCAACCTGGGATAATGAGCATTACATGGGAGAAAAGGAACCTGTGCTCTTCTAAGCCTTTCAAATATATATAGCTCTTCGTCTACATGGACACTCTGACCCCAGCTGCCTCATGCTTAATGGACAACAATTTAGTGAACTGACAGGTTTCCTCAAAGACAAGGAAATATTCACTTTGAAGTTTCCTAGCAGGTAAATAAAAGTTAATGAACAAATTGCAAAGAAATTAACCTTTTAGCTGACAGCAAAATAAAAGCTTTTGGGAGTGTTAGGTTTCCAACTATTTTGTGTACCTAAAGCAAAACAAAAAATATCAAAGGAATTCACACCTACTCAGAAGTCTTAAAATGATACCAGAGGTATTTTACCACTGCAGTGCTATGGCTCTAAGATAATGGAATTTAGATAGTTGATGACAAGCTAGACCCATTGTTGGACCATTCTGTTTTTCTATTAAATATAGGTGTTTAAAATTACACTTGAACTTTTTGGAGATAATCATTCAAAAACAAATGACAGATCTGGCAGGAATCACAAGATGCAAATTCTTTAGGCTTAAATGGGCTAAAAATTCCTAGGCAATTTTCTGTTTTGGAAATACTGCATATATTTTATTTTTTGACATCTGTTTATTAAACAGGGTGAACATTAAGTTAGTATTTTCATTTTGAATAAGCCTCCTCAGTATGCACGAAAATGTAAAATATAATCTAAATAGAAAGCACTTTGGTACTCCATGCTGTTGTTATAACTTAATACTACACTGAATGCTACTACATTTCATAAAGTTAATTCTTAAACACAAGGATGACTCAACCTCAAACGTGGTTTCCATGCTGAATACTGCATATGTTTTTAAATGTCCATATAAATAAGGACATACTTAATTTTTAAAATATTTGCTAAATATTTTTTCTTTTTAGACCAACATGTCTTTTCACAGGAATGATTAAGGCAAATATGAAATGTCATCACACCTTGAAGCAGTAAGATATTGCTTGTATGAAAAGTTATCACATCATACAAGCAACAAGTGGAGTGGGAAAATGAAGGACTATAATTATATGCTCCCAATCAGATTGTCACATGAAATGAAACTTGGAAAAAATGCAGGTACCCTCTTAAAATTTTTGACTTTTGTGTACTTAAGATACATGATATAATAATTAAGACTGCTTAGGCACTGATATGGATTCTATTCTTTAGTGCCTGGATATAACTTCCTAAGACAAAGCAAAATCATTCAGGGCTTTATTTTCTTCAGACCAAGAGTGGTATGAGGGTCTGACCTATTACTCTCCAAGAGCAGAACTGATTTCAGTTGGTCACTTTCCCATAGTGCTTTGTTTACACTCTGCCATCCAGACTCAGTATATCCAGCTTCCATATGTCTTACTCATAAGATCTTGGAGTGAGTAACTTGTTTTTTCAACTCTGTTCCCTTAACCACCACCATGACTTGTAGACAGTAAACAATTAAATGTATTAAAGCTTCTTTTGGGGAGGCTAATTACAACGAACTGAGTGTTTGTATTCCCCTAAAATTCCTATTTTGGAAGTGAGGTCACAGTGAGACGGTGCCATCTATGAACCAGGAGGCCAGCCCACACCAGACACCGAATCTGCTGGTGCCTTGATCTTGGACTCCCTAGCCACTCCAACTATGAGAAATAAATGCTTGCAGTTTAAGCCATCCAGTCTATGGTGATTTGTTATAGCAGCCCAAATGGGCTAAGGTAGTAATAAAAATATCTTTTGCATATTCAAAGGCAAAAACGTTTCAATTTATAATCTATTTCTTAAAACTAATTTTCAACCAATCATCACATAACAGAAACCTATTTACTTATTTCTGACATCTGAAAGCATGAATCGATAAATCCAAATAGACCTGTCAAAATGAAATGGAAAGAAATTAGGTTTCTTACTTCTAAGTTGTAGAGCACTCTGAAGGTAGACATTCCCGGGGCAAAAGATCGAAACAGACTTTCTAAAATTGAACTGGCACTTGGCTGGTGCTGTTGCTTTGATGACAGGGATGGAGATTTTGAGGACTGAGAACTTGATTCAGACAGCAATGTTTTCTAAGTTTAAGAGAATGAGAAAGACATAAACTACTTAAAAGGACAAATTAAAGAGAAACAGATCTTAGTACACGTCCTAATATTCTTTCCCTCTTTAATATAAGCCACACCAATGCTATTTTCTAAAAATTAACTTCATAAAACCACATCACTCCGTAACTATTAAAACATCAAACTTCATCATACAAATTCTAAATGTTCAATAAGATTCAAATACTACGTGAATGCTTTTGAGCATGTATTCTAAGCAACACCTGAGAAGGTCATTTTAATTAGTTTCTGTGTTTAAAATTTGTATCTCTAAATACTGATAATAAAATTATAAGATTGCTAAAGTGGTAGGCTTGAAAAATCTGTTAAGCTAATACTAGTGATATATTTTATAATTACATTAGTTTTATCCTTTAAATTAGTGTATAAGCAATAAATGACATGACTGAGCTGATCTAAATTTCTACCACTAAATTATAAAATAGAAAATATAGTTCTAACAACTTTTTCTACATCAATTTATTCTGAGAACATAATTAAACAATATTATAGATACGACACAATTTCAATATATGGATAAATCCCTTAAGGAACAACATTCTAACAATTAACAAAAATGAACTTTAAATATCAACTGTGAAAAAATTAAATGATAATCCATTTATATTAGCAACTCAGACATACGCAATGATCAGATTCAAAGAGGCATCATGGGTAATGAAAAACGTCTCAACTGAATCACAACTAGAGTCTGATCTGGGACAAGTAACTTCATCCCTCTGAGCTTTGGCTTCCTAATATATAACATGAGGAGGTGGAAAGGTAGATGGTACTAAAGGCTCTTCCAGTTCTGACACCTGATGTCATTATTGACTTTATATAAATACTTTAAAAGTCAACATTAAGTTCTGATTTCCATTTATAGCAAAGGTATTTCTCTCTCTCTCTTTTTTTTTTTTTTTTTGAGACAGGGTCTTGCTTTGTTGCCCAGGCCAGAGTGCAGTGTGTAATCTTGGCTCACTGCAGCCTCGACCTCTTGGGTTCAAGCTATCCTCCTACCTCAGCCTCCTGAGTAGCTGGGACTACAGGTACATGCCATCACACCAGCTAATTTTTTTATTTGTAGAGATGGGGTCACCCTACATTGCCCAGGCTGGTCTTGAACTCTGGGGCTCAAGCCATCCTCCCACCTTGGCCTCCCAAAGTGTTGGAATTACAGGCGTGAGCCACTGCACTGGGCTGGTGAAGGTATTTTTCAAAAGAAGAAAAAACATTATGGGAAAGATGGTATCATATGACCTTGATGTGATTTCAGGTTGTATTTTCACTCACTGAATTGTGATATAAAATTGCCATGCTAGTTAAAAAATACTCATACCTTTCTTCCTAAAGAATCAAGTTGATCAAGGGCTTCCTGAATGGCTGGATCAGTGGGTATCAAGAGCAGAAGCTTCCGTACTCGTAGAGTTATCCTGAAGTTTTTCAAATACAAATTTTTTCATATAAGCCATAGTTTAATTCAACAAAGTCCATTAGTATGGAATATAAAATAAAATGCATTTCAAGTGAAAAGTTACTTGGCTCCCTAATGTTAGTAACTTTCTCTCTGCCAAGCCTCACAAATATTTATATTTACCTTGGCTCTTCCAGATTGGCGAGCTGATAAAGCATGTCAAATACGTTACATACGAGAGCCATCACTACACCAGGGAGGGATTTCTCCTGATGGAAAAAAGCAAAATAGAAATTCAAATTTACAAAAGAATGTTCTCCTTTCCTAATCAAACTTACAAACAATAAAAATACTAGTTCTGAAAGGCTGGCTGGTCACTGTAAAGCTTGAGGGAAGCACAGTGCTCGTCTGTACTGAAGAACACCACATGGTAACATATTAGACGAGGGATCACTACCTCCTAGCGTGTATTACTTGCTCTCCCTTCTCCTGGCCACCTGCTAGTGAAGGGACTAAGGTGCCAAAAGGCAGGCACAGTAGAAGAGAGGTAAAGCAGAGAGCATGTGTAATTAATATAATGGAGAGTAGGCACCACTGAGCTAATGACTGCTCCCCAGTAGAGAACAGGGGGAGTGATGTGAAAACAAAAGTAGTGTGTTTATGTATCGACATTCACACACAACAATAAATACATGTAATTTAAGTTGAGACAAAGAAGTTACCATGTTTTTTTCCCAAAGATCAGAAAAGACAAAATGGTTATAACTGCATAAAAGAGATTCAGATATGACTAAAGCACTATTTTCTGGTTATAAGGAATAAGAAATCGGACATCATTACACAACGTATTTACAAGTGGGAAGATTTTTAATAAATTCAGGATAAATGTGAGACAGTTAAAAATTATTAAACTTGAAGATACTATGTACACTGTTTTTGTTATTTAGCTGCTATAATATCATTCTGAGTGGGGTTTCTTTTTAAAATTCTTGTTATATATGAAATATAATTTTTAAAAAAATTGAGATGGGGGTCTCGCTATGTTGGCCAGGTTGGTCTTGAACTCCTGGCCTCCAACAATCCTCCTGCCTCAGCCTCCCAAACTACTAGGATTACAGGCATGAGCCACCACACCCAGTCTTCAAATACAGTTAACTCTGACAACCCCACAATACCAACACAGGCTGAGTATCCCTAATTCAAAAATCTGAAATGTGAAATTCTCCAAAATCGGAAACTTTCTGAGTGCTAACATGACACCACAAGTGGAAAATTCCATGCCTGACCTCATGTAACCGATCTCAGTCAAAATCTTGTTTCATGCACAAAATTATTTAAGATGTTGTATAAAATTACCTTCAGGCTGTGTATATAAGGTGTATATGAAACATAAATGAATTTAGTGTTTGGATTTGGGTCCCATCCTCAAGATATCTCATTATGTATATGCAAATATTCTAAAATCCTAAAGACTACTCAACTTGCACTAAACTTGAAGAGTTCTTTGATCTCTCTAGTAAGGTTTATGCTCTGTAAATTAAAAAGATGCAGTCACACAAAGTCTTACATTTGGAATTAAAGAAATATATATAATAACCATAGGGGGAAATATATATAATAACCATAGGGGAAAAAAAACCCTATATGTCTTTTAAATACCTTTACTTTACATTAGCTTGCTTTCTAGACTATAAAAGCCTAAAAAGCAGAACAGTCTTACGCAGCTTTGTACACCTGGAGTCCTAACACAGAGAAGGTACAAAATAAACTAATTCATGAAGTCATTGAAATATTGATTGAGTACCTATCATGTTCTAGGCACTGTTTTAGGTGTCGAGGACGCAGCAGTGAACAAAACAGAAGAAAATCTGCTCTCATGGAGCTTACATTTTATTGGGAGAGAGAGATAAACAAGATAAATAAAATATATAGTATGCTAAAGAAAAAATAAAGTAGGGAAGGGAAATAAAAAGAAATACAGGGGTAGGAAAGAGGCTGAAAATCTAGACAAGACAGTCAGAGAAGGCTCACTGAGAATATGAGTAAAAGCTGAAGAAAGTGAGAGTGAGCCACCTGCATCAGGAAAGAACAGTTTAGGCACAGGGAAGAGCAAATTCACAGACCATGCTATTTGAGGACCAACATGGAGGCCAGTGAGGCTGGAGTGGTGAGAGAAGCTCACAGGAGACAACCTTGGAGAGGCTCCGGGGGACACATTAGGAAGGCCCTGAAGGTCCCAGTAAAGACTGGCTCTTATTCTGAGTGAGACAGGAGCCACTCGGGCCGAGTGGTACAATCTGACTTATGTTTAGTAAGATCCTGGGCCACTGGGTGCCCTGTAGAGAAGAGACTGAACTGGTCTAAGAGCAGAAACTGTGAGAGCAGTTAGGGCACTACTAAAATATGCCAGGTGAGGCATGGTGATTGCCTAGACTGGTGTGCAAGCTGTGGATGCAGAAAAAAGTAGCTGGATTGTCGATGGATTCTGAAGGTGGAGTCAAGAATTTGGTCATGGACACGGGTGTGAAAGAAGGAACCCAAAGATTCTGGCCTGAGCCAACTAGAAGACTGGAGATGCCATCATTTGAGATACAACAAGGCTGTGGGAAGAAGAGATTTGGGGTGGGAGTGAGGTAGTGGGGAAAAGGGTATAAGGAGCTCAATTCGGGATAAATTAGGATTGGGGTGCCTAGTAGACACTTAAGAGATGTTAAGTGGATGGATCCATTTATTTCAGGTTAAAACTAAAAAGTGGAAGTTAGCAATGTACATACAATATGCAGAGACTGGAGACTGGATGAGATTTTTAAGGGAATGACTGTAGACAGAGGAGAGGTCCAAAGATTGGGCCAGGGAACTTCTCAGTACAGAGATCAGGGAGATGAAGAGAAATTGGCAAAGGAGACCAAAAAACAAAAAACCAACCAAATAAAAAACCAAACAGGCGGAGAGACAGTGGAAATTCACACCAAGTCCCGAAAGCCAAGTGAAGAGTGTTCCAAGGGGGAAGCGATCACACGTATCAGCTTCAATGAAATGTCAAGAAGATGAGGACTAAGAGGTGGAGGTGACAGACCAACTTGAAAAGAGGCTAATTCTTATCAACAGAGATCAAGAGAGGATGGCAAAAGAAAAGCTGGAAACGAGTTCAGACAACTGTTTCAAGGAGCTTTGCTGATTTTGGAAGGAGAATGGGGCAGTAACTGAAGGTGTAAGTGGGATGAAGAGATTTTTTTAAGATGGAAGAAATAACACAACAAGCTTGAACACTAATGAATCCCAGCATTTGTTATACAGTTTGGAAGAGTCAGAACAAAAAGACAGTGACTGTTAAGTTCTTGTTTTTAAATGGAAATTGATCACCCAGTACCTGCTCCATGGCATATGAAGAACTAAAAACCCCACTGCTGCTGCTGCTGGAGCTGGTTGAAGAATCTGCTGAACTCCCAGATGGGGTCCCACTGCCAGAAGTCTTCACTGTAAGGATTTGTTCATCAGAAAAGCCCAGTTGGTGGAGTAGCTTTTGATCTTTATTCACTGTCAGCTGCAAAAAGTGGTTTCTTAATTATTGAGAGGAAAAGGAAGAGGAAATTATTCATATCAGGCTAAATATTTATATTATATCATTTATTATTCATCAAAACTGCTTATTTAAACCTACCAGGCTATCATTTGTAAATATCTGTATATTATCCACAGGAGAGCACAACTGCTTGGCTATTTTCCACCGGACACTCCCTATGGTTTCATTACTGTGAGCCTGTAAAATAAAATTAAACACGTTGTGAGAGAATTCATTTATTTATTCATTTAAACAACTGTGAGTGAACATCTACTAGGTACTGGGCACTGTTCTAGAAGCTGGGAACACAGCAGAGAACATAAAGACAAGAACCCCTGCCCTCGTGAGGCTTCCCTTCTGCTATAATTATGTTCCATTCTACACTCCACCTCCTCCCCATCAAGCGTGGAATGAGACCTCAAGCCCTTCTTCCACTGCAGCGTTGTCCACTCTTTCCCTTTCTCACTGTGCTCCCCTCACACCAGCCACCTTGCTTGCCTTTGTACCTGTTCTTCCATTTGCCTGGAATGTTCTCCCAAGCAAACGTCATTTACCCTGTCACTTTACTCAAGTTTGTGCTCAAATGTCACCACCTCAGAGAGACCTTCCCTGTCCATCTTTACCTAAAATATTTTGTGCATTCCCATCTTATCACCCTCCTCACCAATGTATCCTGCTTTACTCTTATTTGTTCTTTACAATACTTAACCACCGCTTGACATTATATAATATTTATTTATATATCTGCTTGTACCCCACAGTTTCATTTCAGGTCTTTATTCTACATTTGTTTACCAAACTACCTTTAGAATGATTATTCATGCAGCTAACTCAATCAAGACTGCTTTATGAAAATAATAAGACAACATGAAAATGGCTGTAGTTCTTAATGTAAACCTACCTCGACAGTGAAGGTATCTTTGGTAGACTCATAGGTAACATTAAGGGTTAAAAGATGTCCATGAAATGAGGCACCATGAGGTAGAATAGTTCGTGGAACAGAGTAAAAATCCTTAAAAAACGAATAAGTCAAGTCAGATGGACAGCACCACTGATAAACACATCAAAAATACATATCTATGTATATATGATGAATGAAGATGCTTTTTTAAGAAAAGAGAGGCTAACTGGGTGTGGTGGTGTGTGCTAAACTCCCAGCTGCTAGAAAGGCTGAGGTGGGAAGATCGCTTGAGTCCAGCCTAAGCAACATACATCTTAAAAAAAGGAAGTGGCTTACCTCTATAGTGATCACATAGCGCTCTGCCAGAAGCAGCAATCTCTCAATTATTACAAGTTTAGTAGATCTATAGATTAAAAAAAAAAAGTATTAAAATGTATTTGAAGTGTGATGATCTGAGCTCAGTTCTAGTCTGTTTCACCAAAACCACAATAACAGTTAGCACTCACTGGTCAAAGACTGAAATTTGCAAAGATTAAACTTCCCTTTTACCCAATGGGGAGGTGGTTCTACAAGCTCACAGCTGTAGCATACAGATGGAATAAGGGAGAAGCCTATACCTCCCCATGTTTCCTTTCCTTTTCTTTCTTCTTTTCATTTCTTTAAACAGTTATTCCATAAATGGAGGACCTGGGTTTCTAGGCCTATCTGTCCATTAATTTATCAAGAATGAAATGAGTGAGTCTGACTTTATCTTATAACTAAAATATGATATACAATTCTGTGAACACATGAAATCTGACAAAGTTCTGAACTGCCTGAGAATTAGAAGACAAATGCAAATCAGTAAGTACGACACAAACAAAAGTTGCTATCTAAAAATGAGATCTGAGGTCTCTTTTGGTTGAAGACTTATGGAATCTTACTTATCATTTGAAATAATCAGACTGCAATATTCATCAGCTTATATAGTCATAGCCCCATACTTTACTAAAAAGAACATTACATGTATTAACATTAAGAAATGAAAATCCAAGTCCCCTTAATTTAAACATTTTCTATTCCAGAGAGTCTAGATATTTCAAAGAGGTATATTTCTAAAACTGAAAAGAGGTACTACCATTTTTTAACAATTGGTCTGGTATGCTGATTAGCAGTACCAAAAATTTCACTCTAAAAACAGCTGGTTAAACACATTTTAGCAGTTCTATTAAATATACTTAACAGAGTTCTAAATTATTCCAGTCTATGGGCAAGAACTAGAACTTGAAATTCAGACGAAAAATTTTTAGAAAATATCTAAGTCCATAATAAGTGAGTGAACTATTTTTTAATTATGCCTCAATAATGAATTAAATCACAGACAGTATTATGAAATACTGTACAGATGACAGAAACCCCCCCCACCCCAAGTTGGAACAATTATGGATACTGAAAAGTTCTTTCCAAACTAGTGAAATGAGATAAACTACAATGTTCTGGTTCAAATTCGACTTTGAAGCTATATATTCTTATTAACCCTATTTAGAGTTTATAATATTTTAAAATTATTATGTGGTTTTCTCTGTAGTCCACCAAATATGAAATGATTCCGAATAAAAAGCACTTAGTAAAGAGAAAAAAACAAAAAGCATACTCATTTAAAGAAGTAGGAGTTTGGACATCCTAACCCAATAGCACATAAATATACTTACATTCGAATTTATCAGATAAATGAACCATTAAGGAACTGAGTCATAGAGATGGCTACATATTACAAACACATAATTGGGAATTCTTAATACACATTTTAAATGAAAGTCTATTTGAGAAATACTTCCAAGAATGTGGGAATGTGAAAGTCATGTTAGTGTTCTTATCATGAGTTGAATCTATCATTACTTCTGCCATTTAAAAAAGAAGTCTGAGAAAGCTGAGTTTATTGGCTTCCTTCATATTAACAAAGTACAGTGACACAATACTCAACTCATTTTAAAAAAGAAGAATGGAAGAAAGGACTCATTGCTTTGATTCCCCTTTTTAAAGGAAGGCTTTAACAAGCAAAGGAATATCCCGTTGTGAATAAGAATAGCCATTCTAGAGTAGAGAAAGACTCTATGAGTACCCATCACTAGAGGGCAGCAGCAGAGTGAGGTAGGGAGAGCAAGTCCTTCTCAGAGCACTCGCCAGTTTTCTGGGAAATAATGACGTGGTGTTGCTTACCAGCAGAGGCTCATAAAAAACCCACAAAAGTATTTTAGTTACTTCCATCTAATGTTCCAAATTATGCATGGTTTCTCCTATATCTCCTATTCATGAAATCTGAGTTTAGTGAAATCTGTTATCAGAGAACTACAGCAGACACTAAACTCAAGATTTCATCAATATCTGAAAACTCAAAAAACAGCAATGTGATTGAGACAATGTCAGTTTAAAGTTTTCACACAAACATTTGGGGATAAAGTTCTCACTAAAAATTATTTTGAAAAATACTTTTATTATTTGAATAATATTTTAGTGACTATGATTATAGTCACTAATCATATGCAAGCATAATGCATACTTTTAATTAATCATCTTCTACTTCATTCTGCTTACCCTATTAATGCCCTGAGTTTGACTATTCAAGGAGAAAAGCTATATCTAAGTAAATATTTTTAACTTGAAAAAAAGTAGTTTTCATACAATGTATGTGTATTGCATTCTAAACAGTAAGTTATTCATACTACATAGAATAAAAGTAAAATGAATCAAATAAAAACTAAAACAAGAAGACCTGTCCACCAGGTAGAAGGATAGGGACAGGGAAGTACTCGGGTGGTCCTGGTGATGACCTACACACAGAACTTCCAAAGAGGCACAGATTCAGGGATGTATGATGGGGAACATGTAATTCTCAGGATTATGACAGCTTGCAAAAATTATGATATAAAATGAGGAAATCAATAACTGAGAAACCTACATAAAAAACACCAATCATTTTAAAAAACTGACATATGTGTGTTGTGTATTTTTCACTTCTGATCACTTACCTATAAGGAGACTGAACTGAGGTTGCTACAGTTGGCATGGCAGTTGCTGTAAGCATTTTTGTTGCTCTGGTCACAGCATGTGTTAGAGTGGGGCCACCAAGTGCTGAACTGGCTGCCTAAAAAATACCAAACAGTCATTCTCTATCAGGGTTTCTCAACCTGGACTCTAGTGACATTCTGGACAGGATAATTTGCTGTTGCAGAGGGCTGTCCTGGGCATTCACTGTAGGATGTTTAACAGGATCCCTGGCCTCTACCTACTTAGGGACCAGTAGGATGCTTCTAGTTGGACAACCAAAAATGCCTCCAGATATTACCAAATGACCCCCAGAGGCAAAATAAGCCCCAGCTGAGAACTAGTGCCCTATATATGTTAACACTTACATGGGACCTCATAAGGGGTATTCGAATACTTGAATTTTTTTTATAATGACATATTTGGATAGAAGTCACAATTAGGGAAATACCGTACATATTCTAGCACATATTTATCACCAGAAAGCTTAACTTATTGGAATTGGGAGGCAGTAGCATTTTATGCTTTTGGAACATTTTTGCTTAGATGTAAAACTTAAGCATATCAACTGAATATGAATGTTTAAGGCTTTAACCGTCATGCTGGAAATAAAAGAGATACATGTGAGCTAGCATTACACAGCAGGCTTCTAATGGACAAAGACAACCAATACCACCTACTACTAACTGTCTTGCTGTGGCCTTTAATAACATTTATGGTATAACTAGGTGAAACATGAAGAAAAACAAAAAAAGAAGCAGTGCTTATATAAAATACCTGAACAGGAAAAGAAAAAAAAGAAAAAGATTCTATTACAAATATGGAATGTATAGGTGACCTATTTTCTGAAGATAGTTCCTATACTCCAAAAGGGGAGGAAGGTGGATGGAGTGGGGAAGACAGGTGGTGAGAGGGAGAAAGATTTCCTATAGAGTACACTTATATACTGGGCAAACATCTGTTCCCTATGCCACAATATGGTACTGTTGATAAATTCTTCAATAGGATCCAGCCACAAACATCAACATTATAAATTATCTAAAAATATAAAATTATGAAAGAAAAAAAGCATTTACCTCAAAGAGATGTTAAATAAAATTTGCTACTCACTTCTAATCTTGTGTAGCAATCAGCAATGAATTTCTTATGTAAAGATACTGAATCCTGAAAGAGTATATGGAAATTACAATTAGTCCTTGACATTTAGTTGTAATCATTATTCAGGACAAAATATCAAAATAAAGAAGCCAATTTTTGGTCATGCCAAGGATCACAGCTTATCACTAAAATATACATATAATTTTCTGCTTTTTTGTATATGGATAACTTCTTTCCTTAGATACCTACCTTCTTTAATCTAGGATTTAGATTAATGTAACTATAGTTTATGATTAGCTGAATAGCTTCATTAGCAATTTCTTCATCAGGTGATTCCATGGCTATTTTCCAAATGAAATCCATTCCTATCAATTCCAGCTTTTCTACATACTGTTCAAAAGAAAAAAAATTAAATTATAAAGCATATCAAGATCACAAAGTTACAAAATCACAGATAATTATTTTGTTACATCATGAGTCCACACCTCTTCAGTTCAATATGAATTAAGGCTGCAAAACCTCAGCTATATGAAAATAATATTATACTGATATGGAACTTTAAAAAGCAACCAACCACAGAAGCACTGGGCAAATTCCACGGGAACCAGGATAGGTACAGAGATATCTCTTCAGACATCCCTAGACCCAAACTGGACACACAGCCCAACAGGCTACTGAAGCAGAAATAGAGCAGGAGTGAGATGGGCACCATCTTCAGGAGCTTTTCTTCAAAAGGAAACAGTCAAGCCAGAAGTGGTCACTAATTCTTGGGGCTCAATCTGGTCTTTCTAAAGCTCAGTAGTAAACAGTAGGACCCAGGGCTTGTAAAATCTTGTAAAAATTCTAACCACCCAGGAAGCCATGTCCTGAATAAAAAGGACTTGGAAAAAGAGTTAATAAGCCTTTTTTTTTTTTAAAGGAGCATGTGTAAATATAAACATAAGCTGTACATCCTAGTTTTCCTGCCTCACTGTCTATTCCTCAATTTTTCTCCCCAAATCCCTGCCACTGTGATCCCAGGACGAAGACTGTTCTTGCTTTTTTAGGTACATGTGAATTGCTGGATCTGAGGAGTTCGAAGCTTAGGTGAACTATCCCTGCTCTGCATTCATGTGGCCACAGGAGGCCACTGGCTGTCCCTAGATCAGCCAGAAACAGAGAGATGTGAGAGAGAGCAGTGTCCTCGCAGGTAGCTGGTGAGGCATGGTAGTGCAGGTAGGAGCCTCCCTTACACTAGGAGAAGCTCTGTCATCAACATAGAAGCTGGCAGTCAAGGAGATGCTGTTCTTTACCAAAAAAATCCATGTTATCTCTCAATTATAACACTTTTTTTTTTGCTGAATATCAAGTTATACTAGATTATCCAAACTATCTAGATTTGAGAATAACGTACTTACCAACTGAGCTCCTTGTCTTTTCAATCGATGATCACAAAGATTCACATTTTCAAAAAAAGTTTTAAATAAGTTAAAACCTGTAATTATAGAATGCCAAATAAATTCATGTACTCTACGTAACACAGATAATCAATGAAAAGACTCAAAGTGGATCAAGAACTAAAACCATAAGACTCTTGGCATTGGCTTCTTAGATATGGTACCAAAGCAGAAGCAACAAAAGAAAATATTAGTAAATCAGATATAATCAAAATTAAGTGCTTCAAATGACATTAACAAGAAAGTGAAAAGACAACTCACATAATGGAAGAAAATACTTGCAAATCAACTATCTGATAAGGAGCTAGTACCCAGAATATATAAAGAACCCTTGCAACTCAAGAATTAAAAGACAAACCAATTTTAAAATGGGCAAAAGATTTTAAGATTTCTCTAAAGAATATAAACAAATGGCCAATAAGCACATATAAATAGATGCTTAATATAATTAGTCACCAGAGAAGTGCACATTAAAACCATTAGATTTGGCCGGGTGCGGTGGCTCAAGCCTGTAATCTCAGCACTGTGGGAGGCTGAAGCAGGAGGATCACCTGAGGTCTGGAGTTTGAGACCAGCCTGGCCAACATGGTGAAACCCTGTCTCTACTAAAAATAAAAAATTAGCCAGGCATGGTGGCATGCGCCTATAATCCCAGCTACTCGGGAAGCTGAGGCAGGAGAATCACATGAACCTGGGAAGTGGAGGTTGCAGTGAGCCAGGATGGTGCCACTGCACTCCAGCCTGGGCGACAAGAGTAAGACTCCATCTCAAACAAACAAACCAAAAAAACACCCATTAAATTTTGATACCACTTTATACCCATTACGATGTCTAAAATAAAAAAAGGCAGATAATAACAAGTATTGTTGAGGATGTGAAGAAATTGGAACCCTCATATATTGCTGGTGGGATTACGAAATAGCGTGGCACTTTGCAAAACAGACAGTTCCTGAAAGGTTAATTATATGTCAGAACAATCTGACTTCTAGATATACATCCAAGAGAAATGCAAACTCGTACCCACTGAAAAACTTGTACATGAATGTTTACAGCAGTATTAACCGTAACACCCAAAAAGTGGCAACAATCAAAATGTCCATTAGTTCAAGAATGGATAAATAAAATATGGTATACCCACACAGTGGAATATTATAAAGCCATAAAAAGGAACGAAGTACTGATACATGCTACAACCTGGGCGAACCCTGAAAACATTATGCCTTAGTACAATGAAAGAAGCCAGAGACGACAGATCACAGTGTATGACTCCATTCATATCAAATGTCCAGATTAGGCTAATCCATAAAGACAGAAAATAGATTAGAGGCTGGATAAAATGAATGGAAAGTGACTGTTAATGGGTATAGGTTTATTTTTGGGGTAATGAAAATGTTCTGGGATTGGAACAGAGTGAAGGTTACATAATTTTGTGAATATACTAAAAGCCACCATTTGTACACTTTAAAAAGTGAGTTTCATGGTATGTAAATTATATCTCAATTTAAAAATTCAATGAAAAGAAACATCTGAAAGGAGGATTTCTATACCTTGATACATTTTTACCTTAATGAACCCTTTTGTACTAAGAAATTTTAAAAAGACAATTTGGCAATTTGATCTAGCAGGCCATATGATTTAAAAACTAATTATAAGATACCATTCATGTAGAAAGGAATTTGAGTACTAAATATGTCTTTAGATGCACAAGAAAAATTCTAGAAGGATATTCCTAACTGTTTAGTTGCTTCTGAGAAGGAGGATTAAAAGTAAAGGAAAGAATAACACTTCTTACTTAAAAGTACTGAAAAAAATGATTTTAAGTTTTTTCCTACCATTCATAGTGATTTCATATGACTCCAATTTAAGAATTTTCTCCTTGAAGAGCTGCTGCTGAACATCACTCTCAAGATCATGCTGTCCTTTTGTAAACCATTCAAAACACATCTGTGGAATAAGACGAATATCACCCTATAACTAAGATCCATTTCAGGCACATACATATTCCAAACTGGAAAAGTAAAGATACATTTTAATACTTCAAATGTTTATACTGTCAAAATACCACTCAAAGCTAAAATGCTTGGAATTCTGAAATTAAATGAAGCAGTTACTAGCAATCTTTCTTCTAGATAATAAAAATATCTACTCATACTTTTCACTGGATTTTATACTTGGGTTTTTCCATCAACATTTACTGCCTGCTTACAACAGGCACTATGCTGGGCACTATCACAATAGTGAAGCCTTTCGACAAGTCTAGGAAGTAGTTAATATTATTCTGTCAAATAAGATGAGGAAAATGAAATTTACTCCTAGAAAATGTCAAGGCAGGTGTTCTGTTCCTGATTTAATCTATCTTTGGCTGCTTAATTATAGTTTACAAAAAAATGTGGCCAGGTACTAATTCTTCTTTACTGTTTTTGGGGTGCAACATCATTATAGGAACTCAAAGTTTTCTGTTGGCAACTTAAAATTAGTTTCATATGGAAGGGAAAAAACTTAAATATATCTAGAATTCTTTATACTCATTTGGTTAAATTTGGTATTTTATCCAGAATGGTATCAAAATTACCAAAGAACTCATACATTTATTTTTATCATGAATATATGTTATATAAAACATTTTTTCAGCACTTACAGTTCTTGGCCCATACTATTTATGCTTATATAAACTGAAAAGTGTTTAGAAGATGTGAGACACACAGAAAAAGTGAAATATTTAAATATTTCTGCCTTACTTTATCCACAATACCACCTTCTTACCTCTCTATCTAATTCACAAACATCCTGGCCAGTTACAAGACACTCCCAGATCTCCTTGGCACGATTCCAGCCCAGATACAGAGTAGCTTCTTGCAAGAAAAACGCTAGAAATTTTAGATGTGCCTCTAAATACTGCAAAAAGAAATAATGCTAATTAGTTAACTCCAGGCATTCATTCCTAAAAGCAACATTAAAACAAAACAAAACTTTAAGTTTTAACAACAGTTTTACTTAATCCTTTTTCATATAATTTAGGGTAAAGTAAATATTAGAATTCTGTTTACAAATTGATAGTACAATGTAATAGAAGCTATCTATCTCAAGTCTATTAGAAATTCAGTTGATTTTGGATGTCAATAAAATGTAATTTCAGCAATCTCAAAGTAAAACACTACAAACTCACAACTGGTGAGTTAAGATTTTTTTCCTAATTTTTTAAAAAACAATAATGTTACTAATCAATTGATTTGAAAAACAAAACCCATTATCCACTGAATTAGCAATTATTATTTCAGATCAAAGACAAAAAAAAGATGTTTATTCCTTCATCATATGAAAGATAACTCACAAACACCAAGATACAAAACTGTTCCCTCACTACAAAGATACCTCATACAACCTCTTTATAGTTACAGCTAACAAAAATTCTTTTTATAGTATAAGTATAAAAAGGTCAAATTAATGTTGTAAATCATGAAGCAAAAACACAAGGCCTGATACCTCCCGGTAAGTGTACCGGCCATCCACTAGTGTCGAGCCACTTAAGCCTCCAGGCCCGGCCACAGCAGCTGCAAGCCGATGACAAGCGATCAAACTTCCCGTTACCAATTTCACTATTTCAAAATTCTTCTTCAAGTCTTGAATAATGCTCTTGGCGAAAATAACAAAAAGAAAAGTGGTAATGAGAATTTGCAGTTATTTTGCTGGTTTAATACAAGCTGCTATTTAAAGATGTAGTCCTAGATGAGACAAAGCAAACATAAGAATTTCCTCATTCGTATTTCCTACACAAAAGTAAATAAAATCAATCTGGTATGTACATTTACTAGAAAATTAATAAACTACTAATGTTTTCCATCTAAAAATATTCATTTTATTTATTTTTTTAAAAAGCCTATAAAAATAACTATTTCACTTCCTGTATACTTTTCTGGATCATCCTTCCCAAGTCTATACATTGAGGAAACTCTAGTACTTTAAGCAAACTAATCTTTTTGTGATACAAAACAAGCAACAAGCTTTTTAATCTTTTCAAACCAATTTTTAAAATGCCATTCTAACTTTTAAAAACTGGCTTAACTATTTGAAAATTAAGCAAATAAAAAGAAAATGAGTTAAGGAGATTAAAAAAAAAAAAAAGCTCTGCAGAAATGAAAGCAGAATGATGCTTAAACTCAAGATTATTAGATGATATAAGTGAATTACATCAATAAACATAAAGATAGTGACTATAAACTCAGCAATTTTAGCCATGTTTTGTTATTGTAAAAGTTATGCAAGTAACTATAATAATAAAAAATAGCTATACCCTTACCTTGTCTTGCTTTTGATAGGTTTGTTTTATGAATGAGCGAGTAATTTCATGGAGCTGACGCAAAGCTGGTACCACCCATACAAACTGGGGATTATTAAGCTGAGATGACTAGAGTTAAAAAGAAGTTACATTAATTAAATTTAGAAATAAACAGCAGATTCATTTATTAGCTATAAAAAATTTCAAGTCAATCAGGTTTACTGTTACACATTTTATTATTTTACTCTTTATATTGACCATTTAGAGCTTATCTCCATGCACTCATAATTCAGTCTTCAACTTCTTATTCTGCATGCAATTTCCTAAAGCTAAGAACTGCAAACAGGAGTGGATGTGAAGTGACAGTAAATGTACAGGGGTACATCAGCAAAAAACAGACAACAAGGAATTAGCAACTTCAGAGGATAGATTAAGTAGCACAGGCTGCTAAGTCATGTTGACACAAAATAAACTGATGGCCAAAGCTTAACTTGGATAACACTGAACTGCATGGTAAGTAAAATGGAGTAAGAATATTGCTTTCTATGATTATATGACTAGGATACCAATGATATGATCAAGACACTGGTAGTGGTCTAAATATTAAAGAAAATATTCATAATCTGTATTTCCTAGTTAAAACACTTTCATAAGAGGTAATTCTATTTTTATTATTACAGACATTTTACACTTACACTGTACATTTTTCAAAACACTTCCAAATATATTATTTCTGAAACTGGTATATGACAATCCAGATCGTCATAGTACAGATCTAAAAAGTCTACTGTTTGTGTAATACTCTTTATAAAGAGAACTACTTTTTAATAAATAGCATCTTTCAAACTATGAAATTTCAAAATTTGGTAAGAATTTCAGTTTAAACATGACTATTAAATCTCTAACCAAAAAGCTGAGTAAAAACTTAAGTCCTCAGCATTCTTCAGAGGCTGAAGTTTTTGTTTTAATGCCTCCTTGTTCTATTGAGCCTTAGTGTAAGATGAAGACCCTTGTGGAGGGGAAATACACTTTTGTTGTCTTTGTAGAGAAACATCTCACTATTGAATATGTAAATGTGAGCAAGTTATTGTCACACAATACTTTTTTCCTTGCCTCATAGGGATCAGCCAATCCTCAATCAGCAAATACTGTATTTCCTAGATTCTAAGACAAAGATTTCATATATTTTAACATATCTGAAATTGACACTTTAGACAATTATGTCAAAAGAAACTCACCAGCCACTAGGCACAGGAGTAAGTTTTTATATAGCTGTGCTTACCTGAGTATGTGCAAACTTAGCTGTACACAAAAGGTATTTGTTCTTCTACCTATCATTTTAGTTGTTACCTGGTATAGGTAGTACCAAACAAGAATGGCTTTCTCACTTAAATTTGGATCACTAATTTGTTACTTAAATGTTATCAAAAAGATTACACTATAATGCAACACTAACTAACCAGTTGTGTCCATCAACACAATTAAAATAAAACAGTCAGTGGTCTCACACTAAAGCATTTTCCGAAGTCAGGAGAAGCTGGCATGACAGACTCATACCCTGTGAAGGGCTGTACCACTCAGCACTAAATGTCTCTCTGTCCTAAGCTGCACCTTATTTCAAGAGAAGGTGTTTAACTTGTAGTGTACATAACTCAATTATGAAAAAAAGCAAGTTGAGTTTTACAAAAGAGAACAAGCACACAAAACTCCATATTCATCAACATGCCTCAAAATTATACAGCCAATCATAAAGATTTCAGAGAGGTCCAAAGCATTACTATATACAATGCAAAGCAGTGTGCTCCCATGAAGTTGTTCATAATTGTTCAAAAAAAGGCTTAGGCTCAACCTCTCATTAAGAATCTAAACCAATGGTCCATAACTGCAAAACGGACAGTTTCTTTTTTTCTTCTTTGCAAGTTTATTAAATCTGAGATGCAGGGTGCAATCACTGGCATCTTAGAATCACAGAAATAAGGTATATATTAAAGGTCAACTACTTGTGAGACTAGCTAGACTACTTCTGGCTACACTATAAAAGTTGCAAAATGACAGTAATAAAAACTGTAAGGTTTATATCCAAACAGATACCTTCCCAAAAGGATTACAAAATTGGGACATAAATATGAACTCTTCAGCAAGAAGCAAATATATTAAAAAGTATCATGATGGCCAATTAAGTCAATTATGGTAACAATATTTTTATTTAATATTGAAAATTATCCTTTGAAGGTAACTTGTTATACAATAAAATTCAAAGAAAAAGTCTATAAAACTAAAATTTAAGAATTATTTCTGATATAGCCTTCTTAAAGTTTAGCAAACAGGAAAGATGTTGTTTATTTCATCTTATCTATGACGTGGTGACAAGTTATAAGAAAAATTTAAATTACTCTTCTCCAATTACAATGAAGATATCTGATAATGTCACAGAGTGGAGATTTCATAAGTAGGACCTGATGGGATGTCTAAATTGGACTCAACATTAGATGAAGCCTTAGAGGTCAGTTGGTTTAGCCTGCAAACCTATGCCTAAATTCTCTTTATTCATTTTTTATACAATGACTGACTTAGTATTTCCACTGATGAGGAACTCACTACCTCAGAAGGGACTGAATTCTGTTTTCAGACTGTTCTCATATAAAAGTTCATTGATACTGAAACATGCTTCTGCATAACTTCTTTGGAGACATAAAAAGTAAGTTGAATGAAACTTCTCTATAACAATGCTCTAAGTATTTAAAAAAAGCTTTCACATTTTCTTGAGTTCTCTCTTCTCAAAGTTGAACATCCCCACTTCCTCATCTGTCTTGTTTTTCCAGACCTATCCTTCTATCTAGGACCACAGCAAAAATTTTTGCTTGGGAGGACAATTTCTAAAAGTTATTTCCTCCTGTACTAACCACATCATGTGAAAGTATCTGTACTGAGGACATCTTGCTACTTTTACTTTCTGTTACGTGTTTTGGTAAGTAGAGGCAACTCAGCTATGGCTATGTAAGGCTTTTGGTGTCCTCATAGGGTGAAGGGGAGGAAGTAAGAGGAAGGAAACCAACATTTGCTAAAAGCCTGTCAGGCGCTATGGTAGGTGGCCTGAAGATAAACAACTTAAGGAATATGCAGTACAACTAACTGAGGAAAAATGAGGTTTTTTTTTGGTTTAGTAATTTTTTTTGGATGAGTACATTTAAACTTTTTAATTGAAGAAAAAAAGAAGTGACATAAGAGGGAAGGATTGGGGTAGACAGTGGAAGGTATAGAAGCAGCAAAGGAAAGAGGACCAAGGGAGCCGAGGGTACCCTGCAGAATCTACAGAAATAAAGTTAGGAAATCAAGGCCAGAATTTCTGAACACAACAGTGGAACTTGGGAATTTTAAGAGTATCAAAAGCAGAGGGAAGGGTAATCAGTTGGGGGAATAGAGGTAGCTGAGGGTGGGAGGGGAGTAAGAAGTGGGTGATCTTGTCTTACCCTTTGCTTAGTTTCTGTGTAGCCTGGCAGGGAGACATAATCCCCAGTCAGCCCACCTTGCTGCCTGGCAGGAAAGGGCATAGCATAGAAAAACACCTTTAGTGGAAGTAAATAATTCACCCCCCTGCCTGGAGCCATATCCAGGGGGCTTTGATCTTCCCACTGCCCCCCTTCAGCAATGTGTACTTTGTAAAAGTCCATGAAAGCACTTAGTAAACTGAAAAGTGCTATATAAAAGGCAAGATATTATTGTTTAGAATGAAATAATGGTACACCAGTATTTCTTTACTGGGAGCAGTGGGGAAATAAAAAAGAAAGAATATTCCTTTCGAGTCTCACAAAATAACTCCAAAAATTCTCCTTTTACTTTTTGAGTTTTGTTATAAAACAACAGACATAAATGAAATGACTGCAAAGAGAAGCAATAAAGATGCAGTGATGCAACTGACTAGAAAAGCTAAGTAATGTTTAGCTGTAACAAGGAAGGAATAATGGTCAGGAGGGATATTCTGGTTTCAAACGCCACTTCCCTGGAGGGAGGGAAAAATCCATTCAGCTTTGACCTTTTATATATAAAAGAAACGTGTCTGTTGCTGAGAAGACAAGACCATTTTTCTATGGACACCCTTTTCCTCTTACTATTGAAGGTTCTAAACATCTTCAGTAACTGGATGAATTTTAATCATAAGGAGAGGTTGCTAAGTTATTTGAATCACTGAGCTAAGGAAACTGGAAAAATTCAAATTGTATCTGAGTGAAAAGAAAGCAATGTTATTGAGTTAAAAGAAAAATTCCTCATAACCTGAGAATTACCAGCTCCAGTTTGCAAATACCTTTTAAAATTTCTAAAGCTGGGTTACATGTAGAAAATTCACCTGGTCACATTTCAGTGTCAGAAATATAAAACACAAAGTTCTTCAATGCCCCCAACTAAACTTTGTGATCAAACACAACATAAGAAATAAAAGCCCACTGAGCTAAGAGTCTCTTAATATACCAATGAAAATTAGTTGGCAGTATCCAAGATCCTTTAAAGAAATACTTAACAAAAGCCAAGGAATATGTTTTACTAATGAAATTATTAAGCCACTAGTTATTCTACCAAAACTTTTCTTATGTTAATAATAAAATGAAAATCAGAAAGCGGAAGCCTTTCCAGTGCTAGGCTTTAAGTTTGGTCTGGGCACCCTGAGGGTCTAGGTGAGAGGACAATGCTGCTCCAATTAGGGCTGCTGCAACAACAGAAGCACAGTCCACTGAGCTGGCTGCTGTGATCAGCCCTCTCAGAGGAGAGGCTTGAGGCTTAAGGACTGGAACAACAGGAGAGCTGCAATCATTACCGCTCAATCTGCTAACCACCACCTCCAAGGACAGTCCAGAAGTTCACAGTAACCTACAGTCCCAGTCCCTCTTATACAAGTCCGTATCCAACCCTACCTTCTAAAATGAAGCCCCAGCAACAGATACTCACTGAATGACTGCCTATAGAATTACTTTAGGAACATGTCTAAATGAAGAACCTGAAACACTACTATGTGCAATCGATGACTGAACCTCCTTCCTTTCTCTCTCTCATACTATGAATGCTCCTCCATTTCTCCTTTATGGGAGAAAAACAAGCACAATATTTATTTGGAGTCCACTGTACTTATTAAAACTGTGCATACTTTAGATTTAATTTTAAAAAGAAAAACTAAGTTGAAAATCTTCTAATTTTATGAAAATTATATAATAAAATTACTCTTTGAATGTGATCCTAGATTTTTTTTCCCATTAAGAGCACCTCCCAAGCTTTAAATAATAAAGCATAGGTCATAAACAAATTTTTAGACATCAAGTTTAATATGAACATTAAGAAACACTAAAACATACTATTATTTTAAAATTGTGGTGTAATTTATTAAAGGAAATTATTAAACTAGTATACCTTTTAGTTGGTTCCATCTGCAAATTCTTACCTTGAATCCATCCTTCTTGTTTTTTTCCAAACCTGACCATTCTCCAGGCTGAAAATTCATTTTAAGAGAAATATAAGTGACTTGGTAAAAGCAATACCTATAATTTCCCGATCTTGGACTTTAAGGTAAGAGCTTCCAGATATGGCATTTAGTTTAATTTACATAACAGGGGAGGAAAATTATTTGGCTCTAATTACTCAGGGAATACTGTTGCTCTAACAACAAAATCAGATAAAAGCTGAAACCAACCCTCTTAATATCTTCTATGCACTTGATGATGTAGCTCCTCTTGATTGCTTCTTTCACTGCATATGCATCACTAAGGATTGTCAGGTGCTCCTCCAAGGCCTGCTGAATAAGGCTACTGGGCAGGGTTGGAAGGTGAGCCAGTTCCCAGAGTACGTCTAAAACCTACAATAATATTACATATGATCAGCCAGCCAATATGCAAATAGCTGCTTTGAGCATTTGTAGCTAGAAAAATCCATTTGATTCTCCTGCCTTTCCAGAAGTGGTCTCAAAGCGAGCTTCCCGGCCTATTCGTCCAATCAGGCTCAAAAGCTTCTGTCTTACTCTATCACTCTCAGTCTCCCAGCTCTGTAGAACGGAAAAGACACAGGAATTGCTTCACGATCAAACTGGCAAAATATGCAAAAATTTTAAACTTGAGCTAAAAACATTAACAACGTAAGAAAAGTACATTTAAATACTGCTAACTGGTGGGGAGGAGGGGTATTCAGGACCTCAAAAGAGCTTATTTTAAGAAAATTTAAAAGTAAGCAAGTCTGACTGAACACGTACCTTCTGAATGAGAACAAACAAATGATTAAGCTGATCTGAATTAAATTTCACAGCCGCTGCAGCAATAATAGTATGAATGTTCTCAATCACAGTAGATGATTGTCCTGACTGGAAAAGGAAACATTGGAAAAAAATTAAGTCTTGGAACTCGGAACAACCTAAGTCTTCCCCCTGGCAACTTACAGAAGCACAAGCAAAAATATAACAAAGACAAATTGACTCTAGTGTAATCAGCATCCACTTGCATAATATTGGCAAGACTATATGAAGCAACCATTATTAATCGTTATCAGCTGGCCTTATTTAAATTCCTAGAAGCATTAATTCTTTA
The DNA here is from genome assembly GCF_000001405.40 of Homo sapiens. Taxonomy (NCBI): domain Eukaryota; kingdom Metazoa; phylum Chordata; class Mammalia; order Primates; family Hominidae; genus Homo; species Homo sapiens. The sequence continues at coordinate 55,155,002 of NC_000001.11, forward strand.
AACCGACAATGAAAAAAAAAAACCCCATGAGAATCAAGTTCTCAGTGTGACATATTTCACTTCAAGAAGAGAACAAAATATTTTCAACTGCTGAAAGATTTAAACAGATTGAATTATAAAACAAATGTACCCACTTTTGACATTTTATAAATGATCCTGAAGGTTCCAATTGAGCGTATTACCTGCCTCATTATTTATTTTACTCATAGATACTTTGTGATTTCAATTAATGTTTATTTATCCTATTGGCAGTAAGTCTTTGCTGCAGAGCTATAGACCCTATTGTCAACCTTAAGGTTTAAATTCACTTTATAACGTCAATTATGTCACTGTCATGCCTCACTGTTCATCATGTGAGATGTGAAATCAAAGAGGACATTTTTAGATTCAATTCCTTAAGAATTTTCTCAATATATACTATGCACATAGAGTCATTCATTGAATGTAGTAGGAATATACAATATATAAATCATGGTCTCTAATCTTCAACCTAAATCTTCAACCTTATGTGGATTCAAAATTTATACTCGCAAAACAAAATTATATGAGTGTATTCCACCAACGTCAAGACATGGGAAGTAATATCTTGGGACCCGGGACTGTTTTCTTTTACTCCTGCACCTGACTTTTTATAGTCTGCTCTGTAATGCTGGGCTGGGAGCCTGCCAACTACATTTCCCAAACTCCTCTGCCAGCCAACTTCCTGTTACGTTCTGCCAATGAGAGGAAGCGCTGGGAGATGAGTGGCAGGATGAAGGATGAAGTACGTCTGGCTTAGGTTCAGAGTGGATGCAGATGCTGGCTGTGGCTGCAAGGGACTCTGGAAACCTTGGTGGCAGTAGCACCTCTTTGACAGTTCCAGCACTTAAAGTAAAAGCACCTCCAAGAGCAGCTTCATTTCCTTGAACTTAATACCCCTTCCTTCTTTTTGCTTCTCCAACATTCTCTTTTTTTGCTCCTCTACCTTACTTAGGAAGACTTTTGTAAACAATCCCCTGTAATGAATTCCCTTTGCTTGATATACCTAGCATAGTTTCTACTTCCTGACTAGATTCTGACTGATACAGTGACTAAGTTGATACAGTCAAAGAGTGCTCCAGGTTTTTCTCTGGCTTACCAACTAGATGAAGAATAATACCATTAATGAAATAGACTGGAGAATGACCATGTTTGGATATAATGAATTTAAGATGCCAATGCACTATGCATGGGAATGTGTGTTACATATTTAGATATACTGCATTGGAGCTCCAAGAAGAGATCTGAATTAGAGATTTAATTCAGAGTCAACAGCATACAAATGTAGTCAAAGCCACAGGAATGCCTGCAATTGACTTATGAAAACCAATACAGTGAGAAAAGGGCTAAGAACTAAGGCTTGAAAAAAACAAATAAAGTCAAAGTAGAAGAGAATAAGTTAGTAAAGGGGACTCAAGGAGCAATGCTAGGAAAGTTAGGAAAACCAGTAAAATGGACTATGACCAAAGTGAAGAAAAAAAAATTGAAGACTATGTTGGATTCTGTCACACCTCTTGACAGTCCTAGTAAGATGAGATCTACAAACTCACCAATCATCTTTATTTAATAGGGACTAAATGGGAAAAAAATTATTAATGAAAATTAATAATATAATGAAAAGAACACTAGATTGATAAACAAAGACACACACCTATTCCTAGCTCTGCCACTAACTGCTATATGACCTTCTCATTTTTTAATTTAAAAAATTAGAAGACCAGACTAGATCAGCAGTTTGAAACTTCTTGTGGTGAGTGGATTTACACATACAATCTTAATAAAAACCTGAAACTGTAAAGTGGGTTAGGTACAGCTGCTCTGTTTAAAGCAAGATAAAGTTTCCGTTTTCCTGCTCTCTCATCACCCTTTTCGCTCTCCTGTAGTCCAAAAACATTAGCCAAAGGCAAAAATAATTCTGATCAACCTACCTGTATCTTCCAAATTTTAGTGAGTTCATCTAACGACAATTTACTACCCAAGAGTTCAATAATTCCCTTTATACGGTCACAGTATTGTGCTTGGTCTATGTTGCCTAATTGAAGAAACATGAGAGAGAAAGTCAGATATAGTGAACACTGACTCTCTAAATATAATTCTATTGATTCAAAACAATAACTTACTATAAGATCATTTAAAGACTAATACAGTCAAAGCAACAATTTTGTATACTTTTTAATACAAAGATATATTATTTAAATTATGTGTTAGGTAATTTTTATTTTTGAAAGCAACTTACCTTCCAGTGCAATCGACAGAACTGAGTTTTCAACTAGCCAATCTAATAATCTGTCTGTATCTATAGCATTCTTCACAGATTTGGATAAAGTGCTATCTTCTATTAGTTTGGTTACCTAAAAAGATAAGATTATTGTGACTGAGTCTAATATACATTATCAAATATTTATATAGATAGATAGATAATTTTTACAATGTTACAATGTGCTTCAATAACTAGCCAAAATATATCAAAGGCCAGTTATAAGAAGTTAACAGACTACCATTTGTGATGTCCCTTTAAAAAGAACATGGAGGGCCAGGCACGGTGGCTCACGCCTGTAATCCCAGCACATTGGGAGGCCAAGGTGGGTGGATCACTTTAGGTCAGGAGTTTGAGACCAGCCTGGCCAACATGGAGAAACCCTGTCTCTACTAAAAATATAAAAGATTAGCTGGGCGTAGTCGTGGGCGCCTGTAATCCCAGTTACTCAGGAGGCTAAGGCAGGAGAATTGCTTGAACCTAGGAGGCGGAGGTTGCAGTGGTCCAAGATTGTGCCACTGCACTCCAGCCTGGGTGACAGAGCGAGACTCCATCTCAAAAAAAAAAAAAAAAAAGAACATGGAGTCATTCTTACAGCTGTCATTCCCTGGACCACTGCTAATTGGCTCAGGGATGAACATCTAACCCAAACCTCAATCAGGCACTCCCTCCAAATTTTATATGTGGAAAGTATACAGAAGTGTCAGGAAGACACTTCATATGCAGAAGGAGTGAGTCAGTCCCTCTCCGGTGATGGGAACTGCAGGATGTGAAACATCGGATCTATTCATTGTCTTGATCTCTACCGTATGAAAAATGCCAAATGCAGGTAGAGAGGCAGCAAGGCCAACATACTAAGAAAAGCAGGGACAAGACTTGGACAGAGTCCTGACAGTGGTCAGCTTGCAAATTCTAGTTGTTCTGTTGCCCACATGTGCCCATCCTTTCTTGTCTGGCTAGTAAACCTTTCATTCATGTAAAATAACCCAGCCTCTTTTCAATGAACTCCTCTTTTGGTCTAAAATGGTTCAAGATGAGTTTCTTTCACTGGTAGTCAAGAATCCTAACAATACAAAACCGAAGGAAAAAATAAGTGAATTATAACTGAACTGCATTGGCTCCATGTGTCACACACCAAAACCAACTGTGCTGTTTCTGTGGATATGATAACAAATTCAGAAAGCTACAGAAAATTATTTCCATCATTTTGCTTTGACCAACACTGCTGCAGTCATTTAGTTTTTGTCCCAACCCCAGTTAGAAGATTTGGTTTAAGTAAACTTACACCTGAAATAAAACAAAACCAACTGTACCCTTAGAGCAAAAGTAAATCTCAAACTGTATATTCTAAGGGATTATATTCTAGGAAATTTCACAAAAACAGTAAATATTTTAAATATTTCAGATGTAAATTTTGAAAGTAACACAGAAGATGTCTTTACCAACAATTATATACAACATTTTATACACAATCATTCTCTTTTTTATATGATTACAATAAATTATTCATATTTCCCAAAATTGTTATATTAATAAGCATACATCTTGGCAGAACTTAGTATCTGTGCATTAAGTCTTGTAGAAACAAATGAAAAACTTACTTCTTTGAGAGAATTCATCTTAGCACTGAAATGTGGTGATTTCAGCATGCGCAATAGAATATCTAGTCGAAGGTCATCCACAATTGTCACCAGATCCGGTTGGAAGCGCATGCAAAGTAACTTAACGGCAGACAAGAGCTCAGGGATGCTAACCAATCTCTTTTATTGAATAAAAACAAAAAAACAAAAAAGGAACTGTAAAAACATTTTGATCCCAATTCTTATAACATACACAAGAATATAGGGTAACAGTGGTCTGGCAGTATCTGATATTTTACAAGGCCAATTAACTTCATTTTGCTTAGAAACAAAACTTAGCACATGGGTGAGCAGTAAAGGAAAGGGAATGGTCCTGTGAAAAATTTAGGGTAGACAAAATAAGTCATATTAAATTTAAATGGTAAAATTGCTTTAAACAACTCTGGGTAAGTTGTAACACTGTATTATTTTAAAACTTTCTCTATGCCAATTGTGATACCATCAAAATCATGTTAGTAAAATTCTGAATGGTATCACTTACTGAGAACACTGTATTAACTCTATTGACTAGAGGTAACAACCACCAATGGTGCTTCAGAAACAGCACTTTTTAATTAGGAAATGTAAAGTTAATTCGATGTGAATGCATGTGACCAGAATTCAAAGAGCATGGTGTGTGAACCCTGCTAAGTCCTGGCTCTGCTTCTGTGAACTAACTGGCACTGGGGCCTATCTGGCTGGAGAAGGCATTTACCTTGTCTTTGAGGTCTTTCTCTTCTACACTCCGTACATCCTGGATTGTAGTAAGAATGACTGGGTCTAGCATGGGCTGTAGAAATAAAATGCTACAGTTAAGAACTCCCGAAGCTGTCCCAAAAGTAGAGAGAGAATACTTCTTCATCTACAATTCACAAAGGAGAAGGTGCAATGAAAAGATAAAAATTTTCATATCAGAGCAGCTACTAACTAGCTAATACTGCCAAATAAACCCTTAACTGACTCTGCTTAATCTTAGGTGCCTCAGCTTCTTTACTATAAT